>NW_003315944.2:300000-388773 GCF_000001405.40 Homo sapiens
GCCCTGAGGCAGGAGGGCACACAGAGCACTCAGAGCACTAAATGAAGGCCAGTATGGCTGGAACCGGGGGAGAACCAGTGCTGGGAGATGAGGCTGGGAAAGCAGGCAGGTGGTACATGGTGCAGGCCCATATTCAGGATTTGGGGTCAGGCGTGGTGGCTCATGCCTATAATCCCAGCACTTCAGGAGGCTGAGGCGAGTGAATCACCTGAGGTCAGGAGTTTGAGTCCAGCCTGGCCAACATGCAAAAACCCCGTCTTTACTAAAAATACAAAAATTAGCCGGGCATGGTGTCGGGCGCCTGTAATCCCAGCTACTCGAGAGGCTGAGGCAGGAGAATCACTTGAACCCAGGAGGTAGAGGTTGCAGCGAGCTGAGATTATGCCACTGCACTCTAGCCTGGCAACAGAGTGAGACTCTGTCTCAGAAAAAAAAAGTTGGTGGTGGTGAGGTGGGATTTGGGATATTATCCTAAGTGTGACGAGAGCTACTGAAAGTTTTAAGCAGGGGTAGGAAGAGACCTGTAGCAGATTTCTGTTTAGAAAGGTCACTCTACCTATTTAGGTGCAGACAGGTTTAGAGTGGGAAGAACGGCTCTTTTGTGACTTCTCTGAAGTGTGGCATTCACTCCATCTACTTTCAACCAGGAATTAAGGTGACTAAGACCAGAAACTATTGCCTGTGGCAACTGTAGGTGTATCATGGCTCAAAGTGGTTTCCCTTCTGAAAGGAAATGGTTAAGGGGGAATGTGGGGGAATCCTGGGAAAGAAACATGACTGGTCAAATCCCCTAGTAAACATGCTAAAGACAGATGACAGACCTCTAAAAATAAACCAATGGTGTTTGCTAACAGTAAGTCCTTATCTGTAGAATTCTTTAAGGCAGATGTACCTCGTTTATATGAGTGTCTAGGATTGCTTATGGTAAATAAATATGGAAATCT
The DNA here is from genome assembly GCF_000001405.40 of Homo sapiens. Classification (NCBI taxonomy): domain Eukaryota; kingdom Metazoa; phylum Chordata; class Mammalia; order Primates; family Hominidae; genus Homo; species Homo sapiens. The sequence continues at coordinate 300,945 of NW_003315944.2, forward strand.
ACACATTTACAGAGCATGGATCCCTTTTGTCACATAAACTATGTAACTATCTGAGTATATGCTGGAGATTTTTCAAAACTAAAATAGCTCTCTTCTGTGTAAGTAATGGAGCCACATACAGTTCTTAGACACTTCATATGTAAATCTGGGCAGAGTAAGTTCTGATGTGAGGAAAAAAGGCTTGGTGAGATGTGTAGTGGTCCCAGACCTTTGTCTGTCTCATTTGTGCTTCCTGATTACTTATGTCCTTGAAATTATTAGTAAATCTTAATACTGGGCAAGATCTCTGATTCATCAGAGTCTGATGCGATAATCCCAGGCTCTGAGATGTCTCGGTAGGACAGTATGTTCACTCTCATCTCCAGGTTCATTCCATGCACATTTTCCCTGCCTTTGGGGCCACTGCTCTCATGGAGCTGATGTTTTTTGTTGTTTTTGTTTTTTGTTTTTTTGAGACGAGTCTCGCTCTATCGCCCAGGCTGGAGTGCAGTGGTGCGATCTCAACTCACTACAACCTCCGCCTCCCGGGTTCAAGCCATTCTCCTGCCTCAGTCTCCTGAATAGCTGGGACTACAGGCACATGCCACCATGCCCGGCTAATTTTTTGTATTTTTAGTAGATACGGGGTTTCACCATGTTGGCCAGGATGGTCTCAATCTCCTGACCTCGTGATCCGCCCGCCTCAACCTCCCAAAGTGCTGGGATTACAGGCGTGAGCCACTGCACCTAGCCAGATGTTTTTAGGTTCCAACTACATCTATACCGCCTCCAAAATGTCTTTGTCCTTCATTGTGTCCTAACAGGTAGCTTACATCCCAGCAGGAGTTCAACATTTCTTCCAATAAGGACCTCTTTAACGAATTCTCCTGAGCCACCCCCCGCCTTAACAAGGCCTCCAGGTTTCAAGAAATTTTGCCCACAGAACAAGTTATATTTATCAAGAAATAATTGAAAGCTGGGCACGCTGGTGCATGCCTGTAATCCCAGCTACTTGGAAGGCCGCAGTGGGAGGATCGCTAGAGCTCAGGAGTTCAAGACCAGCCTGGGCACTACAGTGAGACCCCATCTCAATAAATAAATACATAAACAAATAATTGAAACAGTTTTTCCAATTTTAATCAAAGGCATTCATAACTACCAGTCAAGAGCTCTGATCAGCGTGAAGACTACCTACCATGTGAACTTGACAGTCTCAAATAAAAGCAGAGAAAAATGGTCCCTTAACATAGACAAACGTTCAACAGAGGCGGGGAGATTCTTTTGGAAATTCTGGGTATACTTCTTAAAGGGACCCTGGGTTGGAAACCACTGCTATGAATCTATTTCTTTATACTCAGACACTTTGTCCCTCATCTACCATTTCTCTGATCGCGCACAAACCTCTTCAGTTTCCCCCATAGCTGGTTTGTTTCCTACCTTGGTACTTCACCACCCATGTGATCTCAACGTCATCAGCAAGCCTGAAGCTCATTCATCGAAGTCACTTTCTTTTTTGTTTTTTGTTTTTCGTTTTTGAGACGGAGTCTCACTCTGTCGCCCAGGCTGGAGTGCAGTGGCGCAATCTCAGCTCACTGTAACCTCTGTCTCCTGGGTTCAAGTGATTCTCCTGCCTCAGCCTCCCTAGTAGCTGGGACTACAGGCATGCACCACCACACCTGGCTAATTTTTTTGTTTTTGATAGAGACGGGGTTTCATCATGTTGCCCAGGCTGGTCTCAAACTCCTGACCTCAAATGATCCACTCACCTCGCCTCCGAAAGTGCTGGATTACTGGTGTGAGCCACCGAGCCCAGCCTCCTTTTGTTTCTAGAGACTGTGTCTCACTATGTGGCCCAGGCTGCTCTCAAACTCCTGGGCTCAAGCCATCCGCCTGCCATGGCCTTCCAAAGTGCTGGGATTACAGGCATGAGCCACCATGCCCAGGCTGAATGCTGACTTTCAAATCACTTGTAAAAAAGTTAAATAATCATCTCTGGAGTAAGCCACTGGGTGTGACTCTGAATTCACCCAGAGGCCCTTTCTCTCCCTCTGGAGGTCCTCCTAATTGCACTGGGGCCCTACAACCTCTTCCTGGCCTGGCTCAGCCCCTCAACTCTTGATAGCAGGTGTTCTCCAAAGGGGCAAAGGGGTCTGTGGCATGCAAGGGAAAAAAAACATATCTCCTGTCTGAATTATTTTCTCTAAATGGAGAAAAATAATTTTATTAATTATTTAGTGTTCATTGATAAGTAGTACATATATACTTCATTCATAAATTGACGTATATTAGAGTTCAAAACTTCTTTTATAAAGAGCAGTGGATAATCCAAAAAATGTAGATGCCATAGCTGAAAATCTCCCCATTCCCCACCCTCCTCTCCTCCCAGTCCTAGTGCCCTGGGTGTTTTTCTAGCCTCCACGTCCGTCAAGTCTCCACTCCGCTGCTATTTGCTGTCAATCTCTGGCTTGCTCTCCTGCCTTGATGTTTCAGAGACTCCAGTAAACTGACTGGCCATCAACTGGGCCAGGACCCTGCTCCCCAAGCCAGCCCAGAGGCTCCCACTGCCAGAACCAGTTCCTGGGCCCACAGCCAAGACCAAAGCCCCAGATCTCTATTTATGTGAGTAATTGTGTAGTTAAGGCACACCAACACTAACAAAAAAATTTAAAAATTCTCTGGGCATAGTGATGTGTTCCTGTGGTCCCAGCTACTCGGGAGGCTGAGGCAGGAGGATTGGTTTGGCCCAGGAGATGGAGGCTGCAGTGAGCCATGATTGCACCACTGCACTTCAGCCTGGGCAACAGAATCAGACCCTATCTTAAAAACAAAAAACAAACAAACAAAAAAAGATATGCTAACAATGTAAAAAAAGTCCCTTGAAATATTACATAATATAGTCCAAACTAGAAACAATCTAAATATCTACCAGTAGGGGTTTGGCAAAAATAAAATAAAATAAAATAAAATAAAATATGGTATATCTACAAGATGATCTATCAGCAGCCAATTACAACCTTATAATAACATTAGGAAATTCTCAAGTTATAAGATGAAATGCAAAAGCAGATCTATATACAAATCTGTATACGGTATAACCTCAACTATGAATACGTCAATATTCACAGAAAACAAGCCTAGAAGGAAACATACCAAAATGTTGCCAGAAGCTTTGTTTGCCTTTGCCTCCTTCAATGGTTCAACAATTCTCCAGTGAGGCTCCTTATGTGTGTGGCACTGAGCTAGGCCCTGCTTTACGGAATCACAGCTGATTTTGGTTTTCTACTTTATACGTTTCTGGGTTTTTGTAGTTTTTTGTAAAGAACAAGTTTTACTTTTACATTTACACAAATAAAACAGAAACAAACAGTGGTTTTCTTATGAGAGCTTGTACTGTAAACCCAAAGACTGTTTTGAAATCTGAATTGTATGTATTGATTCCTGCTTGCTTACATTTTTTCACTCCTTGTAAGACTCTCTAGGGGATAATCAGGTATGGTTTCTTCGAGAGAAATGATTATACTTTTCCTAGGTAGTTATTTTCTCTAGTAATTCAGGGGTCTTACCTCATGATCAGTTATCCTCATCCCTCCCCCCGCCTTAGTTCCAGGGAGGTGACAGGAATGACAGAGCCTAGGCTACCCAACAAGGAGGCTGTGACAACAGCAGCCACCTCCATCTCCACTGGAAGAGTCAAAAGAGATTATACTTCTACATGAAGGAGTGAAGTTAAACTTAAGGCAGAACCTTCCTATTATTAGCATGGCTGTTAAACCACAAACTGAGGTGATTCCTGACTCCAGCGGGGTGCAGAAGTGGGCCGGGTATGAGCAAGCTCACTCTGAGGTAGGGGTTGGTGAATCGCCTCTGAGGTTCCTTCCAGCCCTAAAGCCCAGCATGCATCATGGAGTCTTGGGTGAGGTCAGGTTGTCCCTAGAGATTATTGCCACTGAGATCCAAAGTACCCCTCAGCCCTCCCCACTGCCAAACAGAAGTATTCAGACACGAGCCCAAGGCCAGATGGCTGGGCTGCCCCTGCATGTACACCCCATTCAGAAGGTAGGGTGGCGAGTAGAGTCAGGACCACATGGCCTCCATGTGACTCAGGATCATAAGGAAAGGGTCTCCAAAGGACCAGCCCTGGTGTGTGATGACAGACCAAGACCAGAAGCCCTCACTGCTTGGGTAATTAGGTCCCGTAATTCCGCAGACCCCACTGAGGTCCTCGCTTCTCCCTCATCCCACCACAAGTCCAGCTCACCTATCCCTCTCGCCCTGTTCTTCCTCCAGGCCTCAGCCTCAGGAGCACAGCCCCTCCTCCACTGTTATCTTTCCCTGGTCCTTCCTCCTCCTGCAGAATGTGGGGCTGGAGAGGCTGTTTCGAGGCTGCAGAGGAAGCCCCCACCCACAGTTGCTCTCAGAAGATTGTTGGGGTAGGGAGGGATTGACACAGGGTAGGAGACACCAGGGGGAAGAAAGGGTAGGATGAGGCACACGGCACCCAGGGGTGCTGAGGCCAAGCAGCACTGGACAGGGGTGATGCTCAAGGGATAAAGGGGTGATGGAGGAGCTGTGAAACCACAGCTAGAAAGGAAAGTGTAACAAAAGAACCACTGCCGCTCTGCAATGATGGCACCTCTCCCTGCCGACACCCTGACATGTGGCCTGCCATTAAAAACCTGCCTCCAGGCCGGGTACGGTGGCTCATGCCTGTAATACCAGCACTTTGGGAGGCCGAGGCAGGTGGATCACAAAGTCAGGAGGTTGAGACCAGCCTGGCCAATATGGTGAAACCCTGTTTACTAAAAATCCCAAAAAAAAAAAAAAAAAAATTAACCAGGCATGTTGGTGCGAGCCTGTAGTCCCAGCTACTCGGGAGGTTGAGGCAGAAGAATCACTTGAACCCAGGAGGCGGAGGCTGTAGTTAGCCAAGATTGTGCCACTGCACTCCAGTCTGGGCGACAGAGCAAGACTCCATCTCAAAAAAAAAAAAAAAAAAAAAAAAAAAAACCTGCCTCCAGACCTAGCTCTTGATCCCGGTGGGGTGGGGTGGCTTTCTCCAGTGTCCCAGGAGAGCAGAATTCTAGGAAAGAGGAATGGCAGATGGGGGGCTGAAGCCATGGTAAGTGCTGAGACCCCCAATGTACATTCACGCGTGCATGCACACACACACACAAGTGATACACACACACATACTCATCACACATGCATGCACCAATACCTTACCTGTGCACACCCACCATATATGTAGACAATATGTGCATATACAACCCCAAATGCGTACACACACCACACAGGCAGCCACCAGCCATTAGAGTAATCAATGCCCAGTGCCTGCTTGGCAGCCCATTTGAACCCCTGTGTTTTCACAATGAAATATTTAATGGCAGTAGAGAGCAATCACACCCGTGGTGAGCGGGCATGACGGCCCTCCATGCTAAGGTTGGGCTCCGTTCTCCTTGGTAACAGCCACTCAGGCAGAATGAGGAGTGGGCAGCACTCCAGCCCCTCTGGAGGGAAGGAGCATGCTGCAGCTGGCCTGGCAGTCTGCTCTTCAGTCTCCGTGACCCCTAGGGGTGGCCCTGGCCCCAGCACACCTGCCTCTGGCCTCCCCAACATCCTGCTCACCCTCCTTTCCCTCAGTATCTCTGAGCAACAGCTCCCTGATCCCCAACTGTCCAACCAATACAGAATGTCGAGGAAGTCCTTCCCTTTCTGGAAACTTCCTTCGGGCCTCTGGCTGGATTTCCTTCAGGACTGGTCAGTTTCTTTCAGGACTGCCAGTCAGGACTCTGCTCCCCTCTCCAGAAGCTCTGGCGCCCACAGGCAGGTAAGTAGCCTCTCAGAGGGCGATGGTCTGGCCCATTTGGCACCGAGGCAGCATGTAGAAAGCAGGTATGAACCATGTCAGGAAAAGACGCCACTTATTTCAGCCGTGCTGACCTGGTCTTTCCACCCTCCAGGGCCTGAAGGAACTGGCTAGAGGCATCTGGCTGTAAGACGGGTGCTATTCTCCCACCCCCAGCCTACACTCTCTTAGCTACAGAAAGCTCTACACAGAACAGCTACCTCATCCTCAGTTCACCGTCCGAGGAGAGGAGTTTCCAGATCCTGGACTCACAAAAGTCAGCCCCAGTACTCACATACCTCAACCCCCTGCCCCTGTGCCCACCCCAGCAATCCCAAAGCACCTCTGCCATCCCAGCTGCCTGAGCCTGCGCACTCAGCCACCCCCAAGTGGGGTAGGAGCTGAGACCTTCATGGAGGTCGGAGAGCATCGGGCCACTGATTCCGAGGGCCCGCCTCACATGCAGGCTACCGTGTGGTTTTTACGGGCATGATAAATTCTTTGCAGTGGAAGGGAAAAGTCACTTTGAATTGCACCCACCACTCTGGCTTCTCAAGAAACAGCATGAGTCAATTTTTGTTCTTTCATTTGGAACTGGCAACTGAGGCCTTCTAGTCAGACTCTGGGGTCCCAGGGCAGGAGCTGGTGTACAAAGTCTAAGTTGTCCTAAATCTAAACTCTGAGTATGTGAGGGTGAACTCTCAGGCCCTCTCCTGCACCACAGCTTACCTGCTTACAAGAAAGACAGGATCCCAAGGAGAACTCTGACCAGAGGTCCCCAGAGAGAAACTGAGTCAGAGAGTCCCAGCTTTGACCCCCTAAGCACCTTTGCTCCTTTCTACCCTCTCCACCAAAATCAGCCAAAACAAAACTCTTCAAAGGTCAGAAACCAACCCAGGTTAAACAAGACAAAGGGACCAAACAACCAATGCAATAATGAATAGCTATAAGAGACATTTGGGTGACAATAGAGAAAATTTTAATATGGATTAGATACTAGAAGATATTAGAAAATTATTAATTTTGTCAGTTGCAATAATGTTCTTGTGATTATTGTGATTATGTAGGAAAATGTGGGGATTTTTGGAGATGTATGTTGACATAGGAGTGAATATCTTGATATAATTTATTTTAAAATGTTTCTGTGGGCCAGGTGTGGTGGTTCACGCCTGTAATCCCAGCACTTTGAGAGGCCAAGATGGGAGGATCACTTGAGCCCAGGTGTTTGAGACTAGCCTGGGCAAGACAGTAAGATCTCATCTCTATTAAAGGGGGAAAAAAAAAAAGGTTCTACAAAAAAGATAATAGTCAGATGCTGTGGCTCACACCTGTAATTACAGCACTTTGGGAGGCTGAGACAGGCAGATCGCTTGAGCCCAGGAGTTTGAAACCAACCTGGGCAACATGGTGAAACCCCGTCTCTACAAAAAGCACAAAAATTAGCCACATGTTGGGGCACACACCTGTAGTCCCAGCTACTCAGAAGACTGAGGTGAAAGGATCACTTGAGCCCAGGGTGGGACAGAGGTTTCAGTGGGCCGAGATTGTGCCACTGTACTCCGACCTGGATGACAGAACAAGACCCTGTCTCAAAAATAAAAAAGAAAAAGAAAAAGAAAAAAAAGAAGAAGCAGTTATAAACCACGTTTCCAGGCCTTGTGATACCAGTAGCAAACCTAGATTTTAGCTGCTGAGTGACCTGTGGTAGAAAAGGCATGTGCACTGGGTTCAAGGCCAGTACAGGCCCGCCTACCTGCCTGAACCTACTCTCTCTGAGCCTCAGGTTATTCGTACCTGTAAAGAGGGAATAATGAAACCATCCTTACCAAGTCATGAGAACTCAATAAACTTGCACATGCAGAAGCACACAGCACCCAGGGGCCTCCATCAACATTCATTCTTGTCCTCTTCTGCATTTCCCTACTTGGGAAGACCACCGGTCTAGCAAGAGACAATGAGACTCAAAATTTAAGGAAGGATTTCCACTTCCAGAGAGATAAAGTAAGCATATTTTTCCCTATTCCTTCTGCTAAGCACAACTAAAACCCCTGGACATTACATGTAAAACAAACATAAGAAGACTGTGAAAGGTAGAGGGAAGAGGCCAAAGCAACTAGGAACTTTAAGCCCCAAGGAACAACATGGTGGTGTGTTCCTTGGGTTGAATTTTTTTTTTTTTTTTTTTTGCTCCATATATCCCTGATTTGGAGCTAAAGACACTAGGAACCCAGAAATGCCAATAGGAGCATACACAAAAAACACCAACAAAATCCTGCTCTCTCTTGCCAGAGGACTAAGAAAGGGGCAGCTTAGCAAGACAAGAAACTTTTAGATAATAGCCACTCAGTCAGACACAGTGGCTCATGCCTGGAGTTCCAGCTCTTTGGGAGACTGAGGCAGGAGGATCACTTGAGGCTAGGAGTTTGCGATCAGCCTGGGCAATATAGCAAGACCCTGTCTCTATAAAAAATTTAAAAACTTAGCCGGGCATGGTAGCACGTACCTGGATAGTCCAAGATACTTGGAAGGCTGAGGTGGGAGGATCACACAAGCCCAGGAATTTGAGGTTACAATGAGCTATAATTGCACCACTGCAATTCAGCCTGGGAGACAGAACGAGATCCTGTCTTGGGGGTGGTGGGGATAACAGCCATTCAACTCCAGCCAAACACCAACTGTGGGCCCACAAGCAAAGGCCAAGAGGGAAGCCCAGACTTCTGTCTTCTCAAGGTTGTACAAGGCACCTCAACACACTCGCTGGTGGTATCAGAGAAGACCAAGAAAGGAGCTGAAACTTTCACCTTCTCCAGCTAGTAACAAACTGCCCCCTGCAGTGTCAGTGGAGACCATGTGGTGAGGTGGAACTCCTACCCGTGCTCAGCTGGCACAAGTAGGTGCCCTCACTCTTTGGTGTCAACAGAGGACAAGCGGGGAATCTAGATTTCTACATCTACCTGTCAGTAACAAAGCAGCCCCACCTCCTTCCCCTGCCAGAGTTGTCAGACAAAGTCAATTGACACAGAGGTTTAATTAAGATATAGAGTCTCATATTATAACATGAAAATGTCCAGGTTTCAATACAAAATCACTCACCATACCAAAAACCAGGAGAATATCAAATTGGATGAAAAAGAACAATCAATAAATGTCAACTCCAAAATGACAGAGATGTTAAAAATTATCTGACAAAGATTTCAAAGCAACCATTACAAAAATGTTTCTTTGAGCACTTATGAACATGCTTGAAACAAATGAACGAAACAAAAAATCTCAGCAAAGAAATGCAAGGCATAAAGGACAAAATGGAAAAACATAACTGAAATAAAAATCTCAGTGGGTGGACTCAGCAGCTGAATAGAGGGGCAGAGAAAAGCAGCAGTGAACTGGAAAACAAAACAACAGAAATTGCCCATTCTGAATAACAGGGAGAAAACAGACTTGAAAAAAATGCAGCTTCGGGGGCTTATGGGACTATAACAAAATATATAACATCTGTGTCATCAGAAGGAGAAGAGCAAGAGGAAAAAGAAGAAGAAAAAGAAAGCAGGGCTGAAAGAGTGCTTAAAGAAATAATGAGAGAAAACTCCATCAATTTGGCAAGAGACACTCACCTACAGATTCAGAAGCAAACCCCTAACAAGATAAACTCAAGGAAATCCATTCTAAGATGCATGATTATTACACTTCTGAAAATTAAAGATGAAGAAAAACAATTGAAAGCAGCCAGAAGTTATTTTTTTAAAAAGAACTAAACAGATATTCTGGAGTTCAAAAAGTACAATAACCAGAATAAAAAACTCACTAGAGGCCAGGCGTGGTGGCTCACACCTGTAATCCCAGCACTTTGGAGGCCAAGGTGGGTGGATCACGAGGTCAGGAGTTCGAGACAAGCCTGGGCAACATAGTGAAACCCCGTCTCTACTAAAAGTACAAAAAAAAATTAGCCAGGCATGGTAGCGCACGCCTGTAGTCCCAGCTACTCAGGAGGCTGAGGCAGGAGAATCGCTTGAATCCGGGAAGTGGAGGTTGCAGTGAGCTGAGATCGTGTCACTGCACTCCAGCTTGGGCAACAGAGAGAGACTTAAAAATTAAAAAATTCAAAAAATTTAAAACTCACTAGAAGAGCTCAGCAGCAGCTTTGAGCAGCCAGAAGAAAGAATCAGTAAACCTGAAGATAGCTCAAGTGAAATTATCTAGTCGGAATGGAAAAGAATGAAGAAAAATGACAGAGCCTCAGAAAGCCATAATACGCCATGAAGCATGTCAATACACACATAATGGGAGTCCCAAAAGGAGAGTAGAGGAAAGGCAGAAAAAATATAGAGAGAAATAATAGCTGAAAACTTCCCAAATTTAATGCAAAACATTAATTTACACATCCAAGAAGCTCAACAAATTCCAAGTAGGATAATCACAAAGAGATCCACACCTAGACACATCATAATCAAACTGTTAAAAGATAAAGACCAACACAGACTCTTGAAAGCAGCAAAAGAGAAGCAATTCGTCCTGTACAATGAAACTCAATGAGATTATCAGCTGTTTTCTCATCAAATCCATAGAAGCCAGAAGGCAGTAAGATGTATGTCTTCAAAATGTTGAAAGTAGAAGATAGTCAACCTAGAATTCTATAACCAGCAAAACTACTATACAAAAATGAATAAACTAAGACATTCTGGATAAACAAAAACTGACAGAACTCATTACTAGCAAATCTTCCCTACAAGAACTACTAAAGGAAGTCTTTCAGGCTGAAATAAAAGAACACTAGATAAGTAACTTGAATCCACGTAAAAAATAAAGAACGTCACTAAATGTAACTACATAGGTAATTATAAAAGACTGTATAAACCTATTTTTGTTGTAACTTTTTTTACCTATATGATCTAAAAGACAATGCCAAAAGCAATAATTACAAATACTGTTGATGGGCACAGAATGTATGATGTAATTCGTATGACAATTACTGGCATAAAGGAGAAGGAGAGGCCGGGAATGGTGGCTCACGCCTGTAGTCCCAGCACTTTGGGAGGCCAAGGCGGGTGGATCATCTGAGGTCAGGAGTTCAAGACCAGCCTGGGCAACATGGCAAAACCCTGTCTCTACTAAAAAAAATACAAAAATTAGCCAGGTGTGGTAGTATACACTGTAGTCCCAGCTACTGGGGAGGCTGAGGCAGAAGAATTGCTTGAACCTGGGAGGTGGAGGTTGCAGTGAGCTGAGATCACACCATTGCCCTCCAGCCCAGGCAACAGAGTGAGACTGTGCCTCAGAAAAAAAAAAAAAAAGAAGAAGAAGCAGAGACTGGAACTATATAGGAACAAAGTTTTTGTATACTATTGAAGTTAAGCTGTATTAAATCTATCTAGAGGAAATATTTAACACAATTATATTATACATGGGGAAGTCTAAAGGGATATAAAGAGAGATAAAGTTTCTATACTTCATTCAAATTGGTAAAATGACAACATGAGAAAACTGATGTTTTGTGTATATAATGAAATACCTAGAGCAACCATTTAAAAGGCTATGCAAAGATATACTCAAAAACACTATAGATAAATCAAGATGGAATTTTAAAATATTAAATAATCCCCAAGAAGACCAGAAAAAGAGGGAAAAGAAAAACAGAAAACAAAAATAAAATGATAAATGAAAAATGTATCAATAATTACATCAAATGTAAATGTTCTAAATACACTAATTAAAAGAGAAATTGAAAAATAAATCAGAGTTGAGGGACAGGAGAGGATGAGATTGGCAAAGTGGATTTAAAAACATGTCCCAGCTGGGAGTGGCAGCTCATGCCTGTAATCTCAGCACTTTGGGAGGTCAAGGTGGGCAGATCACCTGAGGTCAGGAGTTTGAGACCAGCCTGGCCAACATGGCGAAACCCCGTCTCTACTAAAAATACAAAAATTAGCCAGGCGTGGTGGTGGACACCTGTAATCCCAGCTACTCAGGAGGCTGAGGCAGGAGAATCGCTTGAACCTGGGAGGTGTGCAGTGAACCAATATCATGCCATTGCGCTCCAGCCTGGGCAACAAGAGTGAAACTCCATCTCAAAAAAGTAAAAAATAAAAAATAAATAAAAACATGTCCCAGCTAGAGTAGCTAAAAAACAAAACAAAACAATGACCAAATGCTGACAAGGACATAAAGAAACTATATCACTCATACATTGCTGCTCGGAATATAAAAGGCTACAGCTACTCTGGAAAATAGTTTGGCAGTTTCTTTAAAAACTAAACATGCAGGCCGGGCACGGTGTTCACGCCTGTAATCCCAGCACTTTGGGAGGCTGAGGCGGGTGGACCACAAGGTCAGGAGATCGAGACCATCCTGGCTAACACGGTGAAACCCCATCGCTACTAAAAATACAAAAAATTAGCCGGGCGTGGTGGCGGGCGCCTGCAGTCCCAGCCACTTGGGAGGCTCAGGCAAGAGAATGGCGTGAACCCAGGAGGCAGAGCTTGCAGTGAGCCAAGATCGCGCCACTGCACTCCAGCCTGGGCGACGGAGCAAGACTCCATCTTAAAAAAAAAAAACAAAAAAAACTAAACACGCAAGTACCATATGAGCAATTACGCTCCTCAGCATTCATCCCAGAGAAATGAAGACTTGTGTTCACACAAAAGCCTATACAAGAATGTTGATAGTAGCTTTATTTGTAACAGCCAAAAACTAGAAATAACCTGGATGCCCTTCAAAGAGTGAATAGTTAAACAAACTATGGTACAATCATACCATAAAATACTATTCAACAATAAAAGGAACAAACCATGGATAAATCAACAACCTGGATAAATCTCCAGAGAATTATGCTAAGTGAAAAATGCCATTCATAAAGGTTACATACTATAGGACTCCATTTATATAACATTCTTGAAATGAGAATATAATAGAAAAGGAAATAAGATTAGTGGTTGCCTGGGGTTTAGGAAGGGGTAAGGGTGGGAGGGAAGTGAGTGAAGCTATAAAAGAACAACAGGAGAGATCCTTGTGGTGACAGAAATGTTTTTTTTTTTTTCCTCTCTTCTCATTGCTGTCACTCAGGCTGGAATGCATGGTGCAAACATAATTGCAGCCCCCATCTCCTGGGCTCAAGTGATCCTCCCACCTCAGCCTTCCAAGTAGCTAGGATTACAGATGTGTACCACCACACCTGGCTAATTTTTTACTTTTAATTTTTAGTAGAGATGAGGTCTCTCTATGTTGCCCAGGCTGGTCTCAAACTTCTGAGTTCAAGCGATCCTTCTGCCTCAGCCTCCGAAAGTGTTGGGGTTACAGGTGTGAGCTACTGCACCAGGCCTGGAAATGTTCTATATTTTGACTACATTCATGTCAATATCCTGGTTATGACACTGTACTATGGTTTTGCAAGATGTGACCATTGGAGGAAACTGAGTAAAGGGTATAATTTCTTCAACTGCATGTGAATCTACAAATATCTCGAAACAGGACCTTAACTCAAACAAATGTAAAGAGGCGCTCACTCTCAGGGTGTCCAGTGGCAGGGTCAGCACCTGAGAGTGAGTGCTTCCTTAAGTGTTGACCCTAAGTGCCCTGCCTGTCTCACTCTAGTCCCAGCCTTGCCTGGGAATGACAGCTTCTTAGGCCCACTTATCAGGATTCTAGAACCAGAGGAACAAAGTTTGATCGCTAAGGGGAGCAGGGGTGGGAATCATCTCGATGCTCCACCACCAACCACCTCCCAACCACCCCAGGCCAAGTATCTTGCAAAGTGAAAGCTCGGCTGTATGAAGGATTCTGGGTAAGGAAGCATGGGTGGAATGATCCCCTGCACTCAAAGGAAAATCGACTGCATTCTGCAGAGACAGGATTTTAAAGGGGAGAGGGACTTTCAAGATCATCTGGGGAAACCGAGGCCCAGGAAGAGGGGCTACCCTCCCAAGGCTAGATTCCTCCCTGGAATTCTTACCGCAGTATGTCCTCCTCTCAGGAGCAGGAAGCACATTAGAATGAAAGGCAAACATGGCAACATCTCTGCCTTCTAGGTAATTCCCAGCAATGAATATCGCCAGGGCCACTGGTTCCAGGAAGAGCTGGACTTGAGCCCTCAGGACAAGGGGAAGAAGCAAGTCACAGATGGCAAGAAAAAACTAGTAGTCAAGGATGAATTTAGAGTACGGTGTCAGCCCTGCCACACATTCCTACTTCTAGCCTGCTCTGGACCAGCTGCCCTCCTAGGCAACCAGCTGCCTACACTCCAGAGGTAAGAAGAGAGGGGCTTTGGCCCTCCCAAAGACCACTCCAAGGTGCACCTCACCAGAAACCTCCAGGCACCTCCTCTCCCACTGCCACCTCCATTCCCCTGGAGGTATCACATACATATTAACTTGTTTTCTTTGCATTTTTTCCCTCTAAGACAAGCCTCTGCCATTGGCCATAAGAAAGAAAATCATCCAGCCGGGCTTGGTGGCTCACGCCTGTAATCTCAGCACTTTGGGAGGCCAAGGTGGGCGGATCACGAAGTCAGGAGATCGAGACCATCTTGGCTAACACGGTGAAACCCCGTCTCTACTAAAAATACAAAAAAATTAGCCGAGCATGGTGGCAGGCACCTGTAGTCCCAGCTACTCAGGAGGCTGAGGCAGGAAAATGGCGTGAACCCGGGAGGGGGAGCTTGCAGTGAGCCAAGATGGCACCACTGCACTCCAGCCTGGGTGACAGAGTGAGACTCAGTCTCAAAAAAAAAAAAAAAAAAGAAAATCATCCAATGTGAGCTGCACTCAAGGAAGCCGAGGGTCTCTCAGCCAGTCACCGTTCCCTCCCCAGGAGGGGTGCTCCCAGGCAGAGGTGGGAAGCCAGCCCAGTCACACAGCTCAATGCCTCATTCTGATTGGTCGGTGCTATGATGTGCTAATTGTCAAATATTTTGACTATGACCCTGAGTAAGACACTCTCCTGACCCACATGGTACACAAGGAAGTCTCATGAAAGTGGTAGCCCTCACCCTCTCCTGGGTATATTCAAAATGCTACGCTAAGGCTCATTTCATGTTCCCTTCTCTACATAACTACCCCTGTCAGAGAAGTCACAGAAGAATATACTGACTCACTACCCTAAGGACCCAAATCACTCATACAGACCACAGCACAGACCTAATGAAACAAAATCAAAACTCTCAAGACTCAAAGAGACCACCAGAATTTCTCTCAAAAGCATTTAGCTGAGAGCAAGGGGGACTGTGAGGATGCAGCCACTGCCAGGGCCCAGGCAGGGGGAGACAGCCCAACCTCCCTCTCCTCCCGCCCGCCAGTCTCCCGCAGGGCCTCCCATTGGCCAAACCCAACCCAAAGACAGAAAGCAAGGGAGCCCACACAAGAGCAAGCCTCTCCAGGGCAGAGGGCAGGGCAAGGAAGGGCAACAAGGGACGGGTGTCAGGGAGCAAGTGGCAATCAGAGAGACCCAAAGGGATGGCGGACCCCTCTCACACACAGCCACTTACACACCACGGCCGAACCCCAGGCCCAGCACACAGAGGTGGGACTTGGCACCCACCTATCATCTCTCCGCCCTCTGGATTGTATTCTCCCATCCCCATCAGCACAAGCTGGGTGCATCGTGGGGGGACTGGCTGCAAAAGGGAAGCTAGGGTGCCCTCCCTGGCCCTACCCTAGGCCTCTAAGAAAGAGAGAAGATAAAGGAGGCTTCTCCTCCTAGCATGACCAAACCCTCAGCCTGCAGAGCCCTAGAGCCAGGCTGGGCTGGCCCCTCACTCTGCCAGGATCCCAGTAGTGAAGGTAATTACATTTATTTTTCTCCTCTTGGCACAGAGCCCCCCAGTAACACAAGAATGCGCTTCCTTCCACCCCCACTGCCAAGTCTTTGCCTGGCCTGCATCCGCACACGCGGCATCCCCATGTCAGGGCCCATCCCCCAGAGGCTTGCTGGCAGATGTCCTGAGGTGGCAGCCAGCACAGAGTCCCCACTGCCAGGGACTTCCTGCCAGGGACTCCCCCCCAGCCATACAGGAGCACCAGCAGTTGGGACTCAAGTTGAAGGCTCCAGCAGTTTACCTTAAACCACGGAACACAGAAGGTATCCAAAGGGAGAAACAGCTGCAGGTTCCAGACAGTGGAGGCAGGGAGGACCAAGCTATGTGAATGGGGTGAGCCCCTCATGCCCCGCCCAGGCTTCCAGTCCTGTAGATCTGCGAGGGAGGGCCAAGAAGCTGTTTGGTGATATCGGGAAATTGTGGACAAAGGACGGGCAGAAAGGAGAGGCCGCAGGAGATGAGGCCTGCAAATCCCTGCACTGGGGAAGTGCTGGTGAGCCACAGCTAACTGAGACCTGAAATCAAAAATCAAATCTGCCACCTCATCCTCTCCTGCTCTCTCTGGCCCCTCCTCGTGAATAAAATAAATGAAATCAGCCAACTAGATACTTCAGATCATAGCTCATTAAAGCTGAAAAGGATGCCAGAGATGAGGCCAACCCTTCAATTTATGGATGAAGAGACCCAGAGAGGGGAAGCAGTGTGTCCCCGTTCACACAGAAAGATGGTGGCAGCATCAAGGCTAGCACTCCTCAAGTGTCCAAATACTGAGCGCCTACTATGTGCCAGGGATTCTTCCAGACGGTAAGGACACAGCAGTGAACAACACAGACAAAATTTCTGCCCTCGTGGAGTTGGCAATCTCCAACTCAGCCCAACAGAACTTTTTGTCTGATAGTGATATAGGCACTCCTGCTTTGTGCTGATTAGTGTTTGCATGATATATCTCCTTTTCCATCCAGAAACTTTTTTTTTTTTTTTGTAGAGAAGGGGGTCTCGCCATGTCGCCCAGGCTGGTCTTGAACTCCTGGCTTCAAACAATCCTCCTGCCTCAGCATCCCAAAGCACTGAGATTACAGGTGCAAGCCACCACACCCAGCCTTAAATTGTTTATTTTATTTATTTTTAATTAATTTTAATTTAAATAACCACATGTGACTAGTAGCTACAACATTAGACAGTGCCATTTCAGAGGATTCAGCTCAGCAAGCTCTCTCCACCCTGCCAGGAGCTAAGCTGAGAAGTGCCTCCACCCAGGGCAACACTGCCAATGACTATCCCCTGGAACTTTCAGAGGCCCCAAGATGGCTCCCAAACCAGAGAAACCTACCCCTTGGTAAGGATATGGCCGCCAACCCTTCTCCTCTCCCTGAGACCTCAGAAGCAGTTAGATATGCCCAAAATGAGCCGGCCACTTTTTTTTTTTTTTTTTTTTTTGAGATGGAGTCTCACTCTTGTTGCCCAGGCTGGAGTGCAGTGGCACAATCTTGGCTCACTGCAACCTCTGCCTCCCGGGTTCAAGTGATTCTCTTGCCTCAGCCTCCCGAGTAGCTGGGATTACAGGTGCCCACCACCACACCCGGCTAATTTTGTGCTTTTAGTAGAGACAGGGTTTCACCATGTTGGCCAGGCTGGTCTCAAACTCCTGACCTCAGGTGGTCTGCGCCTCAGCCTCCCAAAGTACTGGGATTACAGGGATTACACTGTGCCTGGCCAGAGCAGGCCACTTCTGAGGACAAAATTCGTCCCTGTCCTTGCTGTAGGTGGTTTCTTGCTCCCAGCCTGACCCCTCCCAGTTCTGGTCCTCATGCTGCAGGGGAAATGACTCTCACGATGTGATCTGGGAGGTCTCGGGCAGGGGGAAGCCCTTGCTTTCCTGGCTGAGGCCTGTGCAGCAGCAGCTGGAATGACACAGCAGAAGAAGAAGGGGCAGGCCTCTGGGAGGAGAGAAGTGGTGGTTTGATTAATTGAGATTACTTATAGGTAAAGCCAGCCAGGTAGGATCCATTGCTGCCAAGGACTGTTCAGGCAGAGACACCTCCTCTCTCCTGGGAGCTCCCACACACCCTCCTTCTCACTGCATCATCTTGTGTGTGTTTATTTGCCATCTCACCCCAAGACCGGCCTCTCCTCAAAGGAACTCAGGACACTGTGGGCACCCTTGCCACGCACAGGGTACAGGCTGCCCCTTCCTCCTGCACTAACACTGCACTCAAGGCCCAGCTCAGAGCTGGAGAGAAATGAGTGTGTGTGGAAAGAAGATGGGGGTAAGAGGAGAGGAGGGAAGAATAGGGGAGGGGAGGGGTGCAGAGAAGGAAAAAGAAAAGGATTGCTACCCTAGGTCAGCAATGGTCCTGCATGGCAAGGGCTGAGGAGCAGGAGGGAGGCAGAAGCACATGGAATGCACAGGTAAAGAGTCTTGATGTTCTCTTTACCATTAACCTCTCATCTGGAGCTCTAACGCCTCCTCCCACACACTCATACGCGCTCTCTGCAGCCCTCTGTATTAAGACCACAAAGCTTAATCTGAGTTCTAGTCTCAGTGCGTTTTCACTTTTTATCTGCTGGGCTCTTGACACTATCCCAGCATCTTTACCTTCCCTCAGCCATCGCTTTGTATCTTCGCATTGGTCTCTTAGACCTGAGCTTAGAAGGCAGTAGAGCTGTGAGCCCAGTGCAAGGAGTGGAAAAAAGAGGAGAAAGAACAGAGAATGGAAATGCCCCCAGAGGGACCACCTGAGCCCTGGGAACCTCCACATTGCACAGAGCACACCTCCACTTTAATTTACACATCTTATTTCATTTTCTTACCAAATAAACTGTCACAATAATACAGGAGCTGATTCAATTCAAGCAGAGCTGCATAGATCACATCAGAAAATGACTGATAGTCTTGATGCAGAAATTGCATTTATCATACAGACAAATAAAGTGTGAAGACATACACTCAGGATCAAGGTTTTATCTGTACCAGAGTGTACAATTGACCTGGACCTCCCCACCCTCAAAAATGAGGCATCAGCACAGGTTCGAGACAAGATTGAAATGGGGAACAGGAGGGTCAACAGAGTTGGGGGCCAGGAAGACCAGTGGGTTGGGATAAACAGTTCAGTGAATGTTGGGAGGAGATGCTCTCCAGACACCAGGCCACAGTCTCCACCTCCACTGGCAGGAGGGAATGAGGGACAGAGGACTGCACCCTGAGAGGAACTAGGAATGGCTCCACATTGGAAATTCATGGCAAATTGCTCCTATAATTTACTGGTCTGGCTGGAGAAATGCATCTTTGAACTTCAGTGAGAGACTTTGAAAATCATTCTCAACCGAGGCTCTCCAACCCGTCTGAGATGAATTAAAGGGAATTATGCACATAAACCCCACAGATCAAGGGGACACCCACTCTCCTTCAACTGCCTGCGAGGTGATTAGACAGAGTTCATAGCAGAACAGGCGCTCAGGCTGGAAAAATAAAATAAAATAAAATAAATTTGAAAGGCAGAGATTGATGGCTTCTGTCACAAAGTCTCTCCAAAGCCACAGGCTGTAAATTGAAATTCCCATTGATGCTGAGGCAAAGGTGATAGCTCAATGGCAGCTGTTGGCCTGGAGGAGTCTTTGGGGGAAGGATTCCAGATCCTTCTTGAAATTATGCACTGTCCAATCTTGGGGGACTGCAGCCATCATGTAGGGGGATCCACATCCCAGGGAAGTGGCTGTGGTTCTTAAGGATGCCCTATCATTGCCCTAAGGAGACATTGAGGCACAGAACCGCAGAAGGGTCAGGTCACATACGAACTCCCTTCAGCCAGAGATCTTCCTAATCTGGGCCCTGGGACTCTCACAGCAGCACTGTGCCCAGTACCCTGCACACAGCTGGTACTCAGCCATGTTTGTGGAAGACAAGATGCTTCCTGCCTTCCAGGGCCCTGCTGAGCAACCCACCCCAACCTCCACCTTCTCTGGCATAGCACAGGTCCCAGGCAAACCAAAGAAGGGAGGCAGCAGAGAGGCAAGTCCTAGTGCTGCCCAGACCCTGGTCCAACCTGGAAGCAGCTGACAGTCAGAAGTACAGAAATCTGGGCTAGATTTTCTAACCCAGAAATGGACGTATCTCAGGCTGGAGTATTTAGGGAGAAAGGAGGAGGAGGGATATGTTGAAGGCTACAGTATGCTGCCCAGAACCCCCTTCAGGACTGAGGCACTCATTCCCAAGTCACTCTCTAGAATTATCCTCAGCTACAGAGAGCCACTTGGCTCAAGGATACACCCCAAACCTCCAATGCCTGGTTAGTTGGCTAAAGAGAAGGTGCTTTCAAAGGCTTGGCCCTCTTGCCTCAAGGCAGGGCAATTCTGCAGGGCCTTCTCCAGAGCACCCCATGGGACTGGCCGAGGCCTTGGTTGCCACCACATTGCAGCCCAACTTCTCTTTCTGCTCCTTTTGCTTCCTTCACTTCCTCCACGTGTTGACACCAAGGGCACTCCCTAAAAATCTTGCTGCATGAGATCTCCACCTCAGAGTCTATTTCTCAGGAAACCCCACCTAAGTCAGGGGGCATGTCTAGAACAAGACAGACAATCATGAGCTATCCACAGAAGGCACCTCAGAGACCAGCTGGTCCGACTCTCTCCTTTCACAGATAAGGAGCCTGAGGCCCAGAGAGGGAAAATGGCTAAGAGAGAGGGTTCACCTGCGCAGGGACAGCCTCCAGCTCCCTCTCACACAGACTAGGCTTAGCAGGAAGATGAGTGTGGAGATGGGCCCCTTTGGATGTGGTGTTTGACCAACATCTACTTCACAAAAGGACAGCTATGCAGCTGAGGCTTGTGATAAGAACTGACTACCCACTCCTCCCAGGTACAGAACTTGTTGTTTGATGTTAAAAAGACCCTCTGTATCCCCACTAAAGTGTGGGACTTTCTTTGTAGAGGTGGCCAACATGCAAATATGTGTTCACATCTTCCAGGGCAGAAGTACCTGGCCAGGGGATTAAGGCACAGGAAAGGGAATTTTCATGGCCAAGATGGAGACAAGCCTGATGTTGTGGGTACCACAGAATTTGGAGTGACATTAGGCCCCTTGTTTCATCTAATCCTTCATGTCAGACCCAAGGGGACCCAAAGAAGGGAAGAGATTTGCCTCTGTCCACACAGCCAGTCCCTGGCAGAGCTGCTTCTAGAACTCGGGCCTCCTGACTCCAACTTTCCCAGGAACCATCCAGAAAGCTGAGGCCCCAAGCATCCCTCCCCAGAGAGAGGCTTGGGCCTCAGCTGAGTAATGGAGAAGGGTCAGGTCCCTGTCCCTATTCACCCCACAGCTTCTCTGTTATTTTGTGGGAAATTCGGTGTCCTGAAGCCAATAACTTGCTGGGTGATCTCTCGGCAGCTCTTGGCACATGTCCCCAGCATCCTTCTCAGAAAAGGGCACAAGCACTGCCATTTTACAGGATTTATTGGGAGCCTCTTTCTTTCAATGAAGGAAAGAGATACTTTTATTGGTTTTGGCTGGGTTGTTACAGTCGACAATCACCTATATGTCCCCAAAATTTAAAAATGGGGGAAAAATCACCCAGCATTTACATCAATGTGGTTCATCCCTAGAGGGAGATACATTAAAGAAAGGAACAAAATGAAAGCTAACTGATGAGTTGCCATTTTAAGACACTTGGTTGAATTAAGCTAAAAGCCTGTTCCCAGGGCCACAGTGATGATCCCCAAACGCTGCCAACACACCCGCATGCCAGGGCAGGGCTCATGGGGCCTGCAACCAGGGCTCCCCAACAAGAGTCATCATGCTCTAAAAGCTAAGGAAGAGACCCCTGCAATCTGTCCCCAAACTCGATTTTCCCATTTAGGACCCACTCCTCGGATCCAGGCTTGATCCCTGTGGCACCTAGCCAATCAAACCCTCCCTGCTCCAAGGAGTTTCATGTGGAGATGGAGGCACTGGAGCGGGGATGAAGGTTTTACTGCCAAAATGTGGAACTTTCGTTTTTGATTGTTTGCTTGCCTGTCCACTTGCTTCACAAAAGGTGGCCCCCTGGGAACTGATTAAAACAAAACAAAACAAAAAAGGTGGCCCCTAGTGGGAAGCCAGGGCCTGTTTTGGCACTAAGTAGCCTCAGTTTTCTCATCTTTAAAATAGAATGTACTTGGACCATGAAAACCCGGATGTTAGCCCCCATCTGTTGATGGCTTGCAGTGTGACTTCAAACCAGTCCCTCAGCTTCCCTGGGTTTCAGCTTCCTTAGCAGTAAAATCAGTCTGAAGTGCCTGTTTACCACACCACACTGAAGCTTAAAAATGTTGGAAGAGAAAAGATAGCCTTTCCAATAAATGGTATCAGAACAACTGGATATCCACAGGCAAAAAAAAAAAAAAAAACCTTAACCTAAACCTTATCTACATATAGATAGAGATAGAGACATAGACATGTCTATAGGGAGAGATGTAATGTTTATATATTTAAATTCAAAATGGACGGTCTTAAATGTAACATGTAAAACCTTCTAGAAGAAAACATAGAAGAATATCTCTTAGGGCAAAGAGTTCTTAGACATGACACCAAAAGTGCAATCCATAAAAGAAAGAATCAATAAATCAGAGCTCATGAAAATTAAGTGCTCTGCAAAAGACACTGTGAAGAGAATGAAAAGACACTCTACAGAGCGGGAGAAAATATCTGCACATCACATAGCCAACAAAGGACTTATATCCAGCTGCAGAAAGAACTCTCTAAACTCTACAGGAAGAAGTCAAAAAGTCAATTTTAAAAATGAGTGAAACACTTGAACTGACACTTCACCAAAGAGGACATACAGATGGCAAATAAGCACATGAAAAAAATGCTCAACATCATCAGCCATTAGGGAAATGCAAATTAAAACCTCAATGAGATCTCATGCAGAATCTCATATCAGCATAGCTAAAGTACAAACGCCACCACACCCAATGCTGGCAAGGTTGTGGAGAAACTGGATCACTCATACATTGCTGATGGGAATTTGAAATGGTATAGCCACTCTGGAAAACATTTTGGCAGTTTCTTAAAAAATTAAATGTGCTTGGCAAGTGGCACTGGTGTTCAAAAACAAAACAAAAAAAAACGTATCTACCATACAACCCAGCAATTGCACTCTTGAGCATTTATCCCAGAGATAATCTTATGTTCACATAAAAATCTATATGAGAAAGTTTATAGCAGCCTTATTTATAATAGCCCAAACCTGTAAATAGCCCAGATGTCCTCCAATGGGTGAATGGTTAAACAAGCTGTGGTACATCCATACCGTATATATTAAGTTGAATAGTGTTCCCCAAAAATTCATGTTCACCCGGAACCTCAGAATGTGACTTTATTTGGAAATAGGGTCTTTGCAGATATCATTAGTTAAAATAAGGTCATACTGGATTAGGGTGGGCCCTAAATCCAATGACTGGTGTCCTTATGAGAAGGCCACGTGAAGACCATGTGCCAACAGAGGTAGAGACTGGAGCAGTGCATCTACAAGCAGCACAAAGGCCTGGGGAGAAGCAAGGAGGGATTTTTTCCCTAGAACCTCCAGTACCTTGATTTCACACTTCTAACCTCTAGAACTGTGGGAAAACAAATTTCTGTCGTTTTAAGAACCCCCCACCCCCCGCCATGTGGTACTTTGTTACGGCAGCCCTAGAAAACGAATACACCGTGGAATACTACTTAGCAATAAAAATTAATGAATTGATGGCACAATAATCTAGGGAATTACACTGAGTGAAAAAAAGCCAGTCTCGAGAGATTACTGTATGATCCCATTTATATGACATTCTCAAAATGACAAAATTAGAGTGATGGAGAACAAATCTGTGGTTGCCAGGGGAGGAGGAGAGGAAGGGTATGATCATAAAGGAGGAGCACAAGGAGGTTTCGTTGGGTTTTTTTTTTTTTTTTTTTGCTTTGTTTTGAGACAGGGTCTCACTCTGTCACACAGGCTGGAGTGCAGTGGCGTGATCTCGGCTCACTGCAGCCTTGACCTCCCAGGATCACGCAATCCTTTCACCTCAGCCTCCAGAGTAGCTGGGACTACAGGTGTGTGCCACCGTGCCTGGCTAATTTTTTAATTTTTATAGAGACAGGGTCTCACTGTGTTGCCCAGGATGGTCTCAAACTTCTGGGCTCAAGTGATCCTCCTGCTTCGGCCTCCCAAACTGCTAGGGTTACAGGCATGTGCTACCATGCCCAGCCACAGGAGTCGCCAAGAGTTTTAAATCAGCAGTTCTGATTGTGGTCGTGGTTACATAAATTAATGCATATGACAAAATTCAGAGGAATATACACTTCCCCCAAAAAGTGAGTGCATGTAAAAACTGGGGAAATGGAAGTAAGGGCTGTAGTTTAGTAAGTGGTATTAATGTCAATTTCCTGGTTTTGGTCATCATCAGGGTGAAAGCTGGGTGAAGGGTACCCAAGAACTCTCTACTATTTTTGCAACTTCTATGTGAGTCTAAAATGATTTCAAATTTAAAAAAAAATTTTTTTTTTAATCCACAGGGATGGTGCTGGCCTGAGTCCCACGGCAGGGTAACAGCCTGCAGGGACCATCCCCCAGGCCTCCCAACTGCATTCAGTACTTCTGTCTTCCTCTCTGCGACTCTCCTTGGGAGAGGGCTGCCTGGGTCACGGGCTCGCAGCCGCTCCAGCACGCCTGCCTCCCTCCCACACTCCTGAATCCTGCCCATGCTTCCGGCCCCAGCTCAGTCCTGCTTCTTCTCCCTTGAAAGCTTTCCAGATTATTCTAGCCTGCAAGCATCCCTCCTTCCACTGACAGCTGCTTCTACCCTCCATTGCCTTTGGTATCTACAGACCTCACATAATTTCACAACTGTCAGAGGACCTCGTTCACCCTTTCCAGTCAGACCACCGGCTCCTAAGGACTCAGACCATACCACCCTCCCCACAGCCCTGGCACAGCTGAGCACTTAGAAGGCAGAGAGAAGTGGGGAGGGAGCGGGGACAGACCTCTCTTTATTTGAGTATATGTCTCTCCAAATTCTGTCCATATTTTGTCTGATTTCTGGGGTACTCCCTTATCTTTTTCCAAACTTGATGGGATTTAACATTTTTCCCTAAAGAACAATCTCTCTCTTCCTACTATAATTTTGCCTAACAACCCCCTGAGAATTAAACTTTGGGGTAAAATTCCACTTTTAAGTTGAGACTTGCTCCCTTTGTGACTAACTGAGATGCCAGGATCAAACCAAGTCTTCAATCCCATTACATAAAGCCACATAAAAGCTGCCCCTGCTAACAGCACTTTCCTGATTTCCTCAAGCTGGCCGGCAATAAGTATTCCTAATTGTGCTTGTTAAAAAGTGGATTTATGAATCCCAATTAGGCCGCTTGCACTTACGTGGCAGCAGTTTTCGATACCACCAAACCTCCCTTCTTCCCAAGATGAAATTATTTTTGGTGGGTGACAGGGTAATTACTAAAACATAAAAGGACCCACCCGGTACCACAGCAGCAGCTTCAGCAATTCTGTTAGGAGGCCTTGAGGACAGGCAGGGTTTTGATGGCAAATCTAAACCCAAGTTCAGCGTCCCCAACTCTGTGACCCTCAGCACACAGGTATATCTCCTGGCTCTTTCTCCTTGGACCCAGTACCAACCTCCAGATGCCCTGCCTCGCCATTCATCCTGCTCCTGATTTCCCAGCTGCTCCCCAACTATACTGTGGGCCTTCTCCAGAGCAAATTCTTCCACTCAAAAGGCCTTTCCTCAAACCTACTCTCCCCCAATCTTCCTTCCTTGACGCCTGGTCAGATGCAATCAGCAGCAGCCACCCACAGCCTCTTGCACCTATTGCTGTTCAAGCATTTACTATATCTCTCTGACTCCTTGTGTTTGCCTCCTACACAATTGTGTTTGTCTTGTGTTCGTCTCCCGCACAATTAAGGAGCTATAAGCTTCCCAAGGGCAAGGACCGGGTCTCATTCATCCTGGCTTCCCCAGTGCCTGGTTTGTAGTAGGCTGGCTCATTCGCTCATTCATTCATCTTCTTAGGACCTAAGTTTAAAATGAGCAAAGGATCTGAATAGACACTTCTCCAAAGAAGGTATATAAGTGACCAATATGCACATGAAAAGAGCTCAACACCGCTAATCCTCAGGGAAATGCAAATAAAAACCACTTTGAGATAACTTCTTCAAACCCACTAGGATGGTTACAATCAAAAACTCAGATAATAACAAATGCTGATGAGGATGTGGAGAAATGAAAACCCTCATACACTGCTGGTGGGAATGTAAAATGGTGTAGCCACTTTGAAAAACAGTCGTGCAGTTTCTCAAATGTTAAACATAGAGTTACCATATAACCCAGCAATTCCACTCCTAGGCATGTACCCAACATAAAAGAAAATACGTGTCCCTGCAAAAACCTGTACATGAATTTCATAGCAGCATTATTCATAATAGCCAGGAAGCAGAAACAAACCAAATCTCTAACAACCAATGAATGGATAAATAAAACGTGCTATATTCACAAAGTGAAATATTATTTGGCAATAAAAAGGAATGAAGTACTAACTAGTTCATGCTACAACACGGATGGACCTTGAAAACATGCTAAGTGAAAGAAATCAGTCACAAAAGACCACATATTGTATGATTCCATTTATATGAATTGTCCAAAACCGGCAAGTCCACAGAGACAAAAGTAGATAAGTGCTTGCCAGGGGCTGGGGGAGGGGAAATGGGGAGTGACTGATAAGGGATATAGGGTTACTTTTTTGGGGTAATTGTGGGATTATACTACAAAATTGACTGTGGTGATGGTTGCATAACTCTGTGCATACACCAAAAACCATTGAATTGTACACTTTAAAATAGTGAATTGCGAGATGGGTGGATCACTTGAGGCCAGGAGTTTGAGACCAGCCTGGCCAACATGGTAAAACCCCACCTCTCCTAAAAATACCAAAATTAGCCAGGCGTGGTGGCACATGCCTGTAATCCCAGCTACTCGGGAGGCTGAGGCAGGAGAATCGCTTGAACCTGGGAGGCAGAGGCTGCAGTGAGCTGAGATGGTGCCATTGCGCTCCAGCCTGGGCAACAGAGCAAGGCTCAGTCTCAAAAAAATAAAATAAAAATGAAACAAAATAAAAAATAAAATGGTGGATTTATGGTATGTGGATTATATTTCAATAAAGCTGCTACAAATCTTTCTCTTGTTTTAGTCATTTAGGCACTCATTATGTGTGGAGGGTGTGGGTTCATGAAGGACTGAGCCCCAGTGGCCCGAACTCCTGTACGTCCCCCTCCTTGGGGTGGCTGAGTGTTGGGTATTCTTCCACTACTACAACCTCCCTCAAGAGGTCAGCCCCCTGCTTGGCCCAGGAAGGACAGTACAGGTGACGGGCCTCTTTTTTCAATCAGTCATGATGGGGGAAATTTAATCAACAACAGGACACTTTGCTACTTCAAGACATAATATAATGTAGTGGTTAACTGCAGTCTCCAGAACCAGACCACTTAGCATTAATCCCAGCTCCGCCTATTACCAGCTCTGTGACCTTGGACAAGTTCCTTCACCTCTCTGAGCCTTGGTTTTCTCGTCTGTAAACTGAGAGGATAATAACATTATCTACCTCATAGGGCTGATGTGTGTGTGGATAAAAGGAATTAATGCATATAAAGTATCTGGCCGAGCACAGTGGCTCATGTCTGTAATCCCAGCACTTTGGGAGGCCAAGGCAGGTGGATCACTTGAGGCCGGGAGTTCGAGACCAGCCTGGCCAACATGGCAAAACCCCAACTCTACTAAAAAACAAAGAAACAAAAAAACTAGCCGGGCATGGTGGCGCATGCCTGTAATCCCAACTACTTGGGAGGCTGAGGCAAGAGAATCACTTGAACCCGGGAGGCGGAGTTTGCAGTGAGCCAAGATGGCGCCACTGTACTCCAGCCTGAGCAACAGAGTGAGACTCTGTCTCAAAAATATATATATATTTATTATATATATTTAATATATATTATATATTATTACTTATTATATTATATATTTATATATAAAGTATATATTTATATATAATATATAAAGTATATATATTTTATATATACATTTTATATATATCATATATGTATATCTCATATATATATATTTATATATATAAATAAAGTACCTGTCATAGCATAAGTGCTATCCAAGGATTAGCTGTAATATTTCCCCAGATGGGGGAGTGAATCTCATTAATTGGTTTAGTGACGGGCAAGGCTTACAAAATGCATATTCATCTCAATCAGCACCCCCAAGCACTCATTTCTCCTTGAGCTGCACAGTTCTTTCCCCAACCTTCTCTCCCCTTAGCCCAAGCACGCCAGCCCCTCTCCTCCTGGGAGGAAGGGTCTTGCTGGAGAATACAGGCACAGGAAAGAACACGGCGTGTGTGGTCTGGCCATTCCCGAGACCCTGAGACAAGGAGGCAGTGTGCAGCAAGGCCCAGGCTGGGCAGAGCAGCCAGCCAGAAGGGCCCGGCCCTGCCATCTGCTCTCCCAGCCAAGGTGAGTGGCCTGGCATGGATTCACACTTGGTCACGGCCCAGCACCTCTACCAAGTGCCCATTAGGGAGCAGAGCCAAGGCTCAAACCTGCAGGAGCCATTTCCCATCCTGGGGAAGAGGCAGCAGCCCTGCCTGAAAAAGAGGCCTCTTCAGCATGCTTGCCCACCACCCACACTCCATTTTGCCTAAGAGTGGCAATAAAAACCAGCTCTCTGCCCAGAAAGGCAATGGCTGAGGATGCTGTTCTCCGTAGGTAATATGGCCTTCAAGAGCCCTAGTGAGGAGCGGGGAGACCAGCGCTCAGTGGGTGGTGCCACCCTCTACCTTACCAGGCTCCTTAACTGGGTCTGGAAAATTCAAATGCTTCCTAATGATGCCCTTTGGAGGCAGGAACCTAGTGGGCTTAACCCATCTGGTCACATCTGGCAGACACACTCACACACCAGCGTTATGTTTACAAGCACACATTCACATATGGTCCTGCACACTTGAGCACACACATGCACATATAAACAGCTTACATACATATACAATCATAGACACATGCACACAACCCCATGCACTCACACACACACGCACACTATCATACACACACTTACATGAATACATATATGCTCACATGAAGGCATATGTTTACAAGCACACACTCGCATAAGATCACACACTGAGGCATGCACACAGCACGTAACAGCTTACATACATATACAGGCACATGCAAACATGCTCATATGCACACATTCACTCCCACCCACTGTCATGTCCACACCCACACTCACACTCACATGAACACACATACATACAGCAGCCCCTTATCCACAGTTTTGCTTTCTGCAGTTTCAGTTACCAACCACAGTCCAAAAATGTTAAATGGCAAATTCAAGAAATAAACAGTTCATGAGTTTTGACTTGCATGCAATTCTGAGTAGTGTGATGAAATGTCGTGCCCTCTTACTCCCTCCAGCCCGGGACATGAATCATGCCTTCGTCCAGTGTAGCCACGCTGTAGACGCCCCCTGCCCATTGGTCACTTAGTGGCCATCTTGGCTATCAGATCGACTGTCGGTGGTATCTCAGTGCTTGTGTTCAAGTGACCCTTATTTTACTTTTTTTTTTTTTGAGACAGTCTCACTCTGTCACCCAGGGGTGGAGTGCAGTGACATGATCTCAGCTCACTGCAACCTCCACCTCCCCATTTCAAGTGATTCTCCTGCCTCAGCCTCCCAAGTAGCTGGAATTACAGGCGTGTGCCACCACGCCTGGCTAATTTTTGTATTTTTAGTAGAAACAAGGTTTCACCATGTTGGCCAGTCTGGTCTTGAACTCCTGACCTCAAGGGATTCACCCACCTCGGCCTCCCAAAGTGCTGGGATTACAGGCATGAGCCACTGCACCCAGCCCCTTAATTTACTTAATAATGGCCCCAAAGCGCAACAGTAGTGATGCTGCTATATTGTTATAATTGGTCTATTTTATTATCAGTTATTGTTAATCTCTTACTATACCTAATTTACAAATTAAACTTTATTATAGGTATGTACGTACAGGAAAAAACATAGTCTATATAGGGGTCGGTACTGTCCACAGCATCCACTGGGGGGGCTTGGAACATGTCCTCCGAGAATAAGGGGTGACTGCTGTATACTCACACCCTCACATGGGCACACAAACACACGTGTGTTCACACACATCCTCTAGCGCATGCACACTCACACACATACCCAGAGGCAGCCCTGCAGCCCGCTGGGGCTTCAGGCTCTGCTGGGAGGACAGGTTGCCAGAAGCCAGCAGTCAAGTCACAAGATGGTCTTCTCGTTTGCCAGGCTCTTTTCCTCCTTCGGAAAATCACAACCCAGGCAGGATTCCCAGGGAGGTGGTGTGAGGCGTGGAAACAGGTCCACGGAGGCCTCTGAAAAGCCTTGTTCTGAAAGACATCTCTGAGGATTTCTACAGCCCATGGGGAGGACTAGGTAGTAACACTGACAGCATGGGAACATCTTTTATTAGGTCAATAGAAAATAAGCTGGGGTTCTGCGGTTCGTGGAGGATGCCTTCCTCCATTACCTCACTGAGTCCCTGCTGTGCTGCTTACTGACGGGATCATCCTGAGCCTCAGTTTCCTCCTGGAGCTGCTGTGAGGATTAAACAGGATAACGCGTGGGAATTGCTGAGCCCAGTGCCTGCCACGTAGTAAGCCCCAGTAAATTAGACCTTTTATCCTCAGCATTATTATTAATATTGGATATTAATAGTAATAAATCCCATAGCAATCCTCTGAGGTATTATTTTCCCCATTTCACACAAATGAAAACAGAAGTCCAGCACTTTAAATGATTTGTATACAAGATCACACGGCCAAGTGGGAGAACTGAACTCGGGCCTTCCTTCTAACGCCAGGAATTCTTTCCACTTCTCTATGCCCACCACCCACCCGCATACCTGCTTCTCCTGGGGCAGGACCCCCATTGAGCTTCACCCAGCTTCTCAGCATCTCCTGCAGAGAGGGCAGGAAGGGAGAGGAGAGGAGAAGGAGAAGACAGCACCTTTCTTCCCCAGTTCAAGCCATGGAAGCGCCGGGCTTCTGCTGTTTGGGACATGCCCTGAAATGGCTGTTATCTTATATTTCTTGGTCCCCATTCCACCAGTGGTCCCCAGGGAAGGGCCACCCCAGCCCACTTAGACAGTAGATTCTTTTATGCTTCAGATACCATCTTCTAAGACTAGCTGGGCCCAGCCAGCCTCTGGGTGCTCCAGCCTTCCCGTCAGACTCCACCACCTCCCCACTCCAATGACACATGCCAGGGCATCTGGGGTGAGGCCACAGAACCCCCCAAGCCCAAGAGCTAGTCCAGGTTCCTATTCCTGCCCTGGGCCCTAAGTCACCTTGTGACTATGGGCAGGTCACTTCCTCTCCCTGGGCCTCGGTGTGCTCTCTGCCAAATGAGGGGGTGGAAAGGTCCTTTAAGTTTTAACCTTCTCTGGGGCTGGAAAGCTGCAGAGAATCTCAAAATCCAAGGCAGGCTACTGGGGAAGATCCTTCGAGACCAGGGGAGCTTAGCAAATCATATCACAGCAGGAAGGCTCTTCAGAAAACACCACACACAGAAAGCATTCAAGTAGGAGAGTCAATAAAGTGACGGAGCCCTGCCCAGGGGCTTACGAAGCCTTGTCCCCACCACCAAGACTACGGAGCCAGCCCTCCACAGACAGCCAGACCTGCTCTTCCTCCTCCACCAGGTTTCCTTTTAGAAGGAAGGCTTCTACTTGTGACAGGCTATGGAGCCCCAGAGAAAGAGGCAGCTGGGGAGAGGGGGTGCCCATGCACTCACACATGCACACAGACACAGAGGAGCCACACACAGCAGGACGGAAAACCAGGCCAAGAGGCCTGCAGGGCACGAGCTCTTGGGCCCCAGAAATAACAGCCCCTACCCCAGAGAGAAGATGGCTCCCCATTATCAGACCAGCATCCCCACACGACAGAACCATCTCCTACCGCAAGCCAGCAGAGGGGTTGGGACTCATCACCTTATCACACTGTTGCCAGTGCTGGATGGTTTCCACGTGTTTCTCCAGAGCTTCTCTCCATGCTTCCCTCTGCTCCAGGCCCAGGAGGCTGACAAGCATGGGCTTTATGAGAGGAGGCCCCCTTGATCTCTGGCTTCCAGTTGGGTTGGGTAGTGGGGCACGCCACAGGATGTCCCAGAGCTGGAGGAGACTGAGCTGGGTCACTGTGATTTGGCTGCCTCCATCCCAGGAGGCCCCACTCCTGTCACAGGCAGTCCTCTCTACACAGCGCCCTCTCCAAGTCCCTGCAGACCTGGCGGTGGTAACTGCTCCCCACTGGTGCTAGCGTCAGGGTGCTGCACTACCCTTTGCTGATTTTCCTGCACTCTGCCCTCCCCTTTGTAAACAGTCCCTTTATTAAGCACTCATCAAATTGCCCGGCTTGTGTTCACCACTTGTCACCTGCCAGGATCCTGATATATCACTCAAGAAAAAATGTTCTTAGTCAAATAATGATGACAAACCCATCATGACCAGAAACAACAAAGTCAAGCAGAAACAAATTTTGGGTTAACTAGCCTTGCAGCTTCTGAGCACAACCAAGCTCTCTGTGGTATGCTTCCCCAGCCCCAATGCGCACCAGGGCCAGAGCAGGACTGTCCACAAGCCCCAGGCTCCCGGTGGGCCATGGCGACCTGGATATGCACGTGTCCCAGCCGAATGGGGAGGCCACCACTCAGCTCCCTCGACTGTTGCCAGGCAGAAATGTGGGCCTGGAGTTGCAGATCTTCTCCAGGAAACTGGAAATACATTTTTTAATGTAAAATCTTCTCTTGGCTTACATGTTTTCAAAGCAAAATTCAAGCCAAACTTATCGGTAGCCAAGAGAGAGCTGTTTGTTCCCCTACAAGTTACAATCTGGGACTGAAATTCCATCTCCTACATAGACAATTCAGTAGGATGACAGCTTTGGTGGCCCTTCCGAGGCTGCATACTCTGAATCTCTGAGTCTCTCTCTGCTCTGGGGAAGGAAGAGGAATGGCAAGGCTCCCACAGGGAGGAAGGGCCCTTGGCAAAGCCCAGACAACAGAGAGAGCTGGGTAGCGGGGAGCAGCTGGGTGGAGGCCCCAGGACAAGGACACAGAGCTGGCCAAGATGGGAAACTGGAATTTAGGTGATTAAAATGAGGGGACCCCATTGGGCAATGGGGCTGGCCTCAGAAAGGTTGGGGTTACTCTGGATCTATTTGTTTGGTCTCAAGCTCTGTTTGTTTTGAGGCTGCAACAAATTCTGTCTGAAAGTGGCAGTGGTGCGAACTTCCTGTCCTGTTGGGAAGTGCTGGCAGCAACTTTACCTCCTACAAGAGAGGGAGATTCATGTCATTCACAAAGGTCCAGAATCTGTCCTCCTTAGAACCACTGCATCACTAGGGTTTAGGCGGCTGTGTCCCGGAAAGGGCATCTCATCCCTCCAGCTGCCTCCGAGCCCAGGCAAGCTCACAAACTAGCTGGGTAGAGGGGACTCTCTCCAGTGAAGGAAAGCCTCTGGCTACATACTCCCTGCCTCCTGCTTCTCTCCTTCCCTGAATTACTCTAGAATTGCCTGCTCCCTTGTCTGGCAGCTGCCCACGGTTCCACCAGGAACTGTGAGGCTGTTTTTCAAACCTTCTGTCTTACCTCCCCCACTAGATTGTAAGCCCTCTGGCAGCAGGGCTGGGTTATAAACGTATTTCCCCTCAGGGCTCAGCCCAGCTTCTTACAAATGGAGGTCTATAATATCCACATTACTGGGCATTTTTGGTGATGTGACTAGAGACAGTAATAAGAAATTATAAGCATACTAATAATGATGACAGATGCCTTACATCTGTGCAGCACTTTGAACTTTAGGAATAAGAATAATAAAGTTAATAATAATAATGATAGATGTCTTACATTTCTATAGCACTTTGAAGTTTGCAAGGCACTTTCATAGACTTAATTTCACCTCATCTTCAAAACCATTCTTATAAAAGGGGGGAGATGAAACAAGATAGGCAAAATGCAAGTAATTGCTGAAGCAGGTGATGCGGACGTGGGAGTGCACTATACTGTTCTCTCTACCTGGGGTCTCCAAAATTTTTCATTGTAAAGAGTTTTTAAAAACCCACTCTAGTATGTAAGTGATGGAAGAGGCATTATTCTCACCCATATGTTCTAAAGCAGAAGAAATGGAAACCCAGAGAGGGGACTTGGCTCGTCCAAATCACTCAGTCTGTGTGGACCCACAGAACCAGAGAGGCAGCGTTCCCATTCCTGGCCAAGTGGGCTCCTTCCTACAGCAGCCTTGCCCAAAGTGGGTCCCACAACACCACTTCCTTAGGATGTTAAAAGCGTTCTATAGAGAATAAGGTCCCATGGTTAAATAATTTTAGAAAATACTAGGTTAAAGAAAGCAATCATGTCCATTTCCTGCAGACTTTTTGGAACCTTTATAGAACATTCTGCAGAACTGGTGTTCCACAGAACACAGGCTGGGAAATGCAGGCTGCAACAGACCTGCAGGTAAAGAGGAGCCCTACTTCACACCCCAACCCCCACCATCCCCCAAGGCAGGACTTTCCAGAAACCGGAACCCTGGCCAAGTGAAGTCTGCATGAAGGAGTGTGCTGCAGATGAACCCCCCTGAGGGCTGACAGAAGTAGGACACATAATCTGCCCAGGGAGAGGGGACGGTTATAGGGTGTGATACGGCCTCTAGATAATGGCGGGGTCAGAACGGAAGTTGTCAAAGATGCCAAGAAGGCACATGAGGCCCTTCCTGGGCCCTGCCCTCCAGGCTCCCAAATTACATCAGGGCTCCACAGAGTTTCATTCTGAAGAAGGGAGAGGAGCTGTTTTTCCTACACAGGCTGCCCCTGAGCACTCTACAGAAACAGATGCTCCAACCGTCTCCTGAGTCATGAACTGAGCTGCTGATTCAAACTCCCGCCCCTCCCTTGCTTGCTAATCCTCATCCCTGGACCCTTTTGTGCTCACACCAGCTTCTCTGGCAGCTTCACAGGCCCTTTGGGCAGCTATAGTGATGCTTAATCACTAATGAAGCATAGGTTTTTCCAGCTTTCTCTCCACCCTTCTCCCCCTCAGTAGTGACGACTTGGGTCATGGAAGAGCAAGTAAGAGAAAAATACAATTTGCTTTGTGGAAGCTCGGAATACATGTGTTTATCATCCTCAAATAACAACTAACCCTCACCAAGCCCTTACCGTGTGCTAGGCCTTGTGCTGAGTGTTCACCCACTTCCAATCCCCCCAACAACCCTACAAGTTAGGTTCTATTTCAAGCCCATTTTACAGATGGTCAAACTGAGGTACACAGAAGCTAAAGGATTTGCCCCACATTACTGAGATGATGGTGGTAGAGCTGAGCCTTGAACCCAGGCAGGAGGAGTCCACAGGTGCTGCTCAGAACCCCTCCACCAAGCTGCCCTCGGCAGGCAGCCTAGGCCAGGAGCCTGCAGAGCTGAACATCCTCCAGAGGCAGGTCTCAAGAGTCAAAGGTGGCCCTGGGGCAGCCAGCCTGAATGCACCAAGACCTACAGGCTGTAGAGACCTTCTCTGGCAACCCTAGCAACTTCCCAGACCCATAGCTTAACCATTTCCCATTATCTTCTCTCCCCACTCCCAGTCCTGGCCACCAGCCCTTAGGAGGCTTTTACCTACAGCTGGACCGGCCCCAGTCAAGGCAGACAGTAGGATCTGGAATCAGCTGTGCTGCGAGAGACTCAGCATTCCAAGTCCCCGGGGAGCTCTGGACAGCCTTGTGCCATCTGAGCTCCACCCTTCTCTTTGCCCCTGGCCTGTTGGCTTCTTCTAAAATCCTAGCTCCCTTAAATCCTAGCTCTAAAATCCTAGCTCTCTCCTCTAAAATCCTAGCTCTCTCCTGCCTCATTTCCCAGCTGGCACTCCAGAACCTTAGGGTCTGAACCCTGGCCTTCATTTTCTGCTTCATCATACCACCCCCAGGAGAACAGACCCTGCTCCTTATACCTCCAGTCTCTGATTAGGGTCATGCGCCAAATGAAATGAGTGCCTATGAGGGAAAAGGAAAGGCAAGGAGTTTTATCGAGGCCTACCGTGTGCCAGGCCCTGTGCCAGCCAAGTGCCATACTTACCTGCCTTATTTACTTAACTCACCCAACAACACTATAAGATGAGTAAAAGTATCACCATTTTACAGATGAGGAAACAGAGGCTCAGAGAGGTTAACTAGTTTCACCAATGTCACACTACTAGGTGAGTGGAGGACCCTAGTCTGATATGAAAGCCCAGGTTACGAACGAGGATGCCATAGGGCTATGACAATAACAACACCACCTCAGTCTCCTAGTGTTAACAAAAGGCAGGTGTGACCCTAGAGAGATAACACCGTGTCCATTTTACACAGCACTGTTACCCAAACAGGTTAAGCAGCGTGCTCATATCACTGGGCTGTTCATAATACCAGCACCTAGCATAGAGCATACTATGTGCCAGGCATCCTGCTAAGCACTTAGCATACATGTCACATTTCATTCTCACAACGCTACAAGAAAATCCTATTATTATTATTTTGTTTGTTTGAAACAGAGTGTAGCTTTGTCGCCCAGGCTGGAGTGCAAGAGCATGATCTCAGCTCACTGCAACCTCCGCCTCCCAGGTTCAAACGATTCTCCAGCCTCAGCCTCCTAAGTAGCTGGGATTACAGGTGCCCACCACCACACCAGGCTAATTTTTGTATTTTTAGTAGAGACAGGATTTCACTATGTTGGTCAGGCTGGTCTCGAACTCCTGACCTCAAGTGATCCGCCCACCTCAGTGTCCCCTAGTGCTGGGATGACAGGCATGAGCTACTGCACCTGGCCAGAAAGTACTATTATGATTATTCTCACTTTACAGATGGGGAAACTAAGGCTTAGCAAGCTAAAACAAACTACCCAAAGTCACCACAGCAAATGCCTGTCCAGCAGCCACGCCCTTTCCCCATTCCCTGAGTGCCCCACTTCTGTCTAGGTGCCCACTTCTCTCCAACATGACTCAGGGAAGCATGACCCAGTGAATCTTCCTTACTCTGACCCAATCATGGTAGTCCCTTTCATCATGCTAGTGACTGGTTTAGGAAGGAGCATGTGACCCAGTTCTGGCCAGTAAGATATGAGGAACGCCTGCCAAAGGTCTTCTGGGGAGAGTGTCCTTGCTCTTAAAAAGAGATGTCCATTAAGAGAGACAGGCAGTCCTTTGTTCCACTGGACATTGTCATTTCTTTTTTTTTTTCTTTTTCTTTTTTTTTTTTTTTTGAGATGGTGTTTTGCTCTGTCACCCAGGCTGGATCTCAGCTCACTGCAACCTCCACCTCCCGGGTTCAAGCGATTCTCCTGCCTCAGCCTCCGGCTGATTTCTGTATTTTTAGTAGGGACGGGGTTTCGCTGTGCTGGCCAGGCTGGTCTCAAACTCCTGACCTCAAGTGATCCATCCACCTTGGCCTCCCAAAGTGCTGGGATTACAGGCACGAGCCACTGCACCCGGCCAGACATTGTCATTTCTGAATGTAAGACTGGAACTACTGCAGCCATGTCACCACCATGAGGCGCTATTGCGAGGATGTGCTAACACGCCGAGAGGAACAGCCAGAGAGGCGGAAAGGACCTAGATTCTTATTATTTAAGCCTCTGATATCATGCTTTTCTGTTACTTGCAGCTTAACTGATATAGCCAAAGAGAATGTCAACTTCAGTCCTCTGGCTATAGACTCAAAACTAGACCATTTGAGTCCAAGCCCACAGCATGTATCTATACGCAACGCTGAAGAGTGGGTATCAGGCTGTCAAACTAGACAGACCCAGGCATGGTTCTGCCCCCTTGACCTTGGGACCACCTGGTTTACTCCTACATGGAAGACACAGGCCAGGGCCCAGGCCCAGGCCCACCACCCAACCCTGAATATGATCCCTGAAGGACAAGGATCCCAATCGGGTCCCTACAATGGAATGCAGATGTCCTACAATGGAGGGAAGATTCTGGAGCCAGCCTCTGCCCAAGTCTCATTTCATTCTCCATTTCCACTGCCTTCCTCTGCTGCTGCCCCATAAATCTCCAGTTTATTAATCCTTTACATGAAGCAGTCGGTTCAGGATCCTGATTTACTCCCTGTTCATAAAACGCTGAGAAATTAAAGATGAAAATTACCCAGAAGGACACCGAGCCTCCAGTGGGGGAGTCCCAGAGCAATCCCTGGCCCTGAACCAGGTCCTCTCTGCCCTTCCCACCTTCGGAACTCAGGGTCTGGTGATGTCATTTCACTGTCCTCATCCCACAGGAAGTAAGGGGCTCTTTCCTATGCTTCCACACCCTCCACGCCTACTCTGCACAAAGCAGGAGAGGGGGCGCCACGCTTTCCCTGAAAACCCATTTCAGAGTCTCCTATTTTTTGAAGATCTTCCTCTGCTTAAATCCCTTGTGTTACACATGGCGGAGGGCGGGGAAGGTGCAGAGAATCAAGTTAGGGACAAAAATTAGGGAGCCGATTAAAGCAATTCAAAGGTCAAAATATAGCAGGGCAAGGTGGCTTATGCCTGTAATCCCAGCAATTTGGGAGGCTGAGGAGGAGGATTGCTTGAGTCCAGAAGTTTGAGACCAGCCTGGGCAATGTAGGGAGACCTCATCTCTATAAAAAATTTTAAAATTAGCTGGGTATGGTGGCATGCACCTTTATTCCCGGCTACTTGGGAGGCTGAGATGAGGGGACTGCTTGAGCCTGGGAGGTTGAGGCTGCAGTGAGCCATGATGGTATCACTACACTCCAGCCTGGGCAACAAAATAAGACTCTGTCTCAAAGAAAAAAAAAAGGTCAAAATCTGTAACAAATCCAGAGACATGGCCAAGAGGGAGAATAGAAACTGACTACCTACCCAGGGGTCTCAACTACCCAGGATCATCCTCGTTTCTCAAGCCTCTGAGCAACAGCACTACACCCCAATACCTGCCAAAACCCTCCAGGCACTCAGAGCAGTGATGTTCTCTAAACTCCAGAAGAGCCTGGGTCCTCCTACAGGATCCTGGAAGCGTCCCAAGACTGCCCGGGCTCCCACATCTCACAGTCCACCCCAAAATTGCCTGCCAAATCCCACCTCTTCCCCACAGGTCAAGGAGAGCCACAGGCAAGCATCAAGTCTCCATATCAAGGACAAGGACTATCCCGGTTCAGTGTGACAACAAATCTTTAACCCTACTACATGCCAGGGACAGCACTGGGTACTGGCTCCCTGTTTGACCAAGTCCCTCCTCCTGAGGCTCTCACTACAGTGTTGAGTGTATTTGACTATAATAAGCACAGAGAGTCAGAACAGAAAGACAAGTCACTCAGCCCACCAGAGGGAGGGGAGTTCAGGGAAGGCTTCCTGGAGGAGATGGTGTCTGGGTTGAATTGTGGAGGATGAGTAAGAGTCAGCCACATAAGGAAGGTAGGAAGGGCTTTGCAGTCAGAAAACAACATATGCAAAGACACAGAGGTGTGACACAGCACTGTGTGTTCTGGAGGAGGGAGGACCAGAAGCGGCTTGGTGCTACCCAAGCATCAAGTGCAAGGTGGATTATAGAGGATGGGGTGAGGCTGCTGGGCCTTGACTCTGTGCTAATGAGTTTTGACTTCATCCCGAGGGCAATGGGAAACTGTTAAAGGGTTTCCGACAGGCAGGGACATGGTCCAGTTTGCACTTTAGAAAGATCCTTCTGCCTGCCACAGGGAATGTGGACTGGGGAGGGAAAAGACATCACAGGCAAAAGGGAGAGAAGTCCCAAGCCAAGGCAAAGGACTCCTGAGCAAGAAGCAGCTCTTCAGTCTGGGGGCACAGGCTGGGTCTGCCCTCAATACCATTCAATACCACCAATGCCATGGATAAAGTCTGGATGGGACAAGGAAGAATGAGAGGGCGTCCTGAGAATTCCATGGGGGTGTGGAAATGGCTGTGCTGGAGGGAAGAACAGCAGCTCGAACCCTAGTCCTCTGGCCCAGGAAGGGTCCCCAGTGAGCCTCCGTGCCTCCTGGCTGTGGTGGTTGTTTGCAGGCAGCTTCCTGTCCCCACCTCCTGCCCCTGCTCAGCATCCAGCTCCTCTGCCGGTCCTGGTTTGGGGAGAACACAACCCAGTTCATTTCCTCCACATCAGAACAAAGGGGCAGAGGAGCTGAGCCAAGATGGGCGGCCCGCTGTAACACCCCGGGAAGAACAAGACTGCTGTCCCCGCCATCTCAATCTTGATATTCACCTCAATCATTCTCAGGACCCTCCGTGTGCCCGGCATGGGTCACATGCCACTCCCTCACCCAGCACCTCCTTCCCTTGTCCACTGGCAGCACCATCCAGGCACCCCGGGCTGTTGGAATCCTGGTGCCTGCATGCTAACACCCATCACACCTCGTCACACTAGTTATGTGTCTGTCCATTTCCACCAGACACAGTGCCTCATCCAGGGACCACGTTATCTTCATTCCCAAGTCCAGCGCTCTCGTGATTCACAGGAGGGCCTGGGTGAAGCCTGGATGAAGAAACTCCCAGATGGACTCTGGAGTGTGGTTTCTTCTCATGGTGTCTTATCGGCCAGAGAAGGTGTGTGCCTGATGACAGTGGGGTCCCACACCCTGTCTCCTTCCAACTCACTCCCCCCAACAAAAGACCACCTAGCTGCCAAAACAATACCCTTAAAATTGATGGTCTCACCATTTCACCTCCAAATAAGGACGTCAGCAGCATGTTTTAGTGCCTAACATCTGCTGTTATCTCTAATTCTCAAATACTCCTGCAGAGTAGTGACAATGGCTGCCGTTTTAAGGGGTAAGAAATGCCAAGCCCACCTTCCAGGTCCACCGTCCTGTGGGGAAGCCTAAGATTATGACTTTGGGCAAGTGGGGCTGCCTCTCTGGCCTCTGTTTCTCCATCTATAGAGTGGAATAACAACAGGACCTCCTTCCTGGAGTAGTTTGGGAGAATTGAATGAGTAATCCTTGAAGACACTGGCACGTGGCTATCTCCCGCCGGGCTCAATGCTGTCTGGAGGGCAGTCTGCCACACAGCAGGCACTTCCTGCCTCCACCGCCCCTTCCCATGGATGGCCAGGAGAGGACCACTCCTGAATGATAAGTGAACCAATAAATCAATCTTTTATCTAGGTGGGAATAAATTATAACAGGAAGCTTTTGAGGCTGGTATCTTCTGTGGCATTAGATGTATTTTAATATCATTAATTATGTATTAAGTGTTTGAAGGGAAAATACAGCAATATCCTATAGGATGTATTTGCACGGTAATAGAGGATTGATTCGATGCAATATCTATACTGAAGCTACTGGGATTCAGGTCCTGGGGCTTCGCAGTGGTGGTAAATCACAGCCACAAAAATCTCTGCAATAGTAAATAATAGTATCCGAATTGCTGGAGGGACTCTCAGCGCCTGCTGATGAGAACTGGGCTGCCACCCAGCCAGGAGGGTGTGAATAGGGCCAGCCCTGCATCCCCACTGCTAGGAGCCCAGTTTTCTGGGTGGGAAACCCCCTCCCCAACCCACCCTGAGCTGATCTAGGCCAGAAACGCCTGCCCACCCCAGTCCACAGATGCCCCAGAGAAAG
The DNA here is from genome assembly GCF_000001405.40 of Homo sapiens. Classification (NCBI taxonomy): domain Eukaryota; kingdom Metazoa; phylum Chordata; class Mammalia; order Primates; family Hominidae; genus Homo; species Homo sapiens. Next base: position 342,245 of record NW_003315944.2, read on the forward strand.
GCTGGAAGCTGCTTCCTAAACCTGGAGTTTGCTAAAGGCTTTTCTGCGATTCCCTCAGGGACTCAGATGCTCGAGTAAAAAGAAAATGCATGTGTTGCTTCTCAGACTGCAGGTTGTGTGCCCCTTTCAATGAGGAGACAGGGAAGGTTGGAGGAGATCCCCACACGCACTCTTGGGGAGATGAAGGCCACCAAAATCCCTGTAGTCTAGAGCCCAGGAGCACCGCCTGGAGGCAGTAGAGATGGACTCCTACCTCAGCAGTGGTGACAATAGTGTTTCACTGTGTGCCAGGCCAGGTTTAAACCCACTGCGTGGATTAACTCATTTAACCCTCACAGCAGCCCCTGAGATAGGTTCTATCATAACCCTGACTGTACAGGTGAGAAAACTGAGGCAAGGGTGTCTCCCCTAGATATCAGCATGTCTCACACCCTCCCCTCCTCCAGGTATAACTTAAAGGCCACCTTTTTATTGCAGACCTTCCCTAACACTCTTTTTTAAACTGCAACCCCACCCCCACCCATCACTGCCTCTTCACCTGTCCTGCTTTCCGCCACATCGCTTGTCACCTTCAAATAAACCATCTACTAACTTACTTGCTTAGAGTCCGGCTTCCTCCACGAGAATGGAAGCTCCACAAGGAAAGGATTTGTGTCTGTTTGTCTTGCATTGCTCACTGCTGTACGCCCAACAGCAAGAACAGTCTGCCACAGAGCAGGTGCTCACTAAACATTGACTGAATGAGTAGAAGTTGAGTCACTTGCCCAAGGTCACCTGCTTTTAAATGGCAGAGCTGGGGTTCGAACCCAGGCACTCTGGTCTCTGACCCACTTCAGAATGATCTCACCTTACTCGGGAAGGACATTCTCCTCTCTGATTAAGACCTCTACAGCTGTCATGGGGGACTCAGCCTCCTCACTGCTGAGTGAAACTCCATAGGCAATGATGAGCTAGGAGCATTTTCTGTTCCCTGAACTGAGTTAGGAATGCCAGGTCTTCTGGTATCAACCCCCATCTGAATCTTTGTGGACAAAGACATGTAGGCCTGAGCAAGGACCCTCTCCAAATAACTCATGTCATTACTGAACACTGAGCAGTCTCTCACCTGCTCAAGAACCACTGATGACTCCCCCCTGCCTACAGGGGAAGGCCCAGACTCCAGCACCTGGCCCCAGTCGTGAATTGATTCATTGATTAATGATGGCTGAATCAGACCCTACATATGCGCTTTCCCAGATTTGCTTGGCCCCACCTGCCTCCCAGACCATCACCTACTTTCTGGGTGGAGAGCTAGGCCACCACTACCAGTGGTCTCATCTAACATCACTGGCTGCCCCAGCCTCCCCCAGGGTGAGGGCCAGGCTCTGGCACAGCCTGCACTGCACACTCCTCAGAAGCCAGAGCAGCTTCCGTACCAGGGTCCACCCACCGGTCATGTGGAGCACTGGATGCTGTCATGACTTCTGGGCCCAGGTGAGGCACCATGCCACAGGGCATGGGATTGGGCTTCTCCAGAGGCTTCCCAACAGGGTCAGGTGATATGACCCGGAGGTGCAAGGGAGTTAATGCTCCATGAGGAAAACCTGAACCAATGAAACACCAAAGAGCTAGCAGATAAACTCTATCACTTGTACCTGCAACAAACTGTTCTGAGTCACAGTGGCTCCACTCAGCCTAACAGGAGCCATCCCTCATGACTAAGCAACCAGCTTTCTTTTCTCCCGAAGTGGCGGCTGGCATTCGCTTTTCCTCCCTCCTTGCCTCACTTTCCTTTTTCCTCTCCCTCTCCCTGCCCTGAGCTCCACCCCAGCCCCCCAATAAAGCACCAGCACAAAGACTTCGCTCAAGCTCTGTTTTCTGGGGAACCCAAAATCTGCTCTGCTGTGGAAGGGCCTGGGTGTCCAGCAGGGCCTTGCTCAGAGGAAAGACACATGAGAGAAGATGAATGACTTGACTTTGAGAAGATGAGATCTTGCCAACCCTGGAACCAGGGGAGAGTGGGGGCTGAATTTTCGGAGACACAGACAAGGGTGCTCCTGCTTCCCCAGCTGCCTTTGCAACACTTCCCCTTGTGGGAAGGCAAAAGCAGCCAAGGTCCCCTAGAGCTGGACTTACAGAAAGGCCACGAAGGGACGCAGGCCTGTTGCCTGTCACGCGTCTGAGGTGCTTCCGGTGAACAATTTATACGAAGCGATAAAGACCACACCCTGGAACCTCTGTTTTCTAATACGCCCATGGGGACTGGCAAGTCAGACATTCACTGAGTCTTTGTCTTTGCTACATTCCAGACACTAAGCTAAGCCTTTTACCTGCCTTGTTCATTTGAGTTTCACAACCCTATGTATTATTAATCTTAAGTACTGTTATCACTCTCCTCTTACAGATGAGAAGCAGGGTGCTCAGACAGGTTAGGTAGCTGGTCAGAAACCATGCAGCTAGTGCATGGCAGAGCCAGGACTCAAATCCACATTGAAAGAGGAGATGTCTTGCATGGGGTGACCCATAAGGAAGATACTTTTTGGGTACAGCTGTCCTGGGGAAGCTTTTTGGGTACAGCCCTCCTGGGGAAGCTTTTTGGATTTGTGTCTTCCGTGGCATCAGAAATATTATTAAGTATGTATTAGATGTTTGAAAGGAAAAGACATCTTTGACTCCTTTGTTTCCTATAAGGCCAGCCCAGCCCCGTGGCCCCTCCCCAGCCAAAGATGGGTATACAGACGTTGAAACATCCATGGTGGTCCTTCCCTAACAGGAGTAAGTCATGGGGACTGGGCAAGCAGGCAATAGGCACAAGTTGGACTGTGTTATTCCCTGCCCTCTTGGGATCTGGGCCGAATCAACTACCTCTGGGTAAGAAAATCTCCCCCGCAGCTGCTCCTCCTCCCAGGGCCCAGGGTCTCTACCCACTGAACCAGGCCCGCTGAGTGGAAGACTGTCACAGTGTCCCCCAAGCTGGAGGCCCAGGGAGGGGCAGTGGACCAGGAGGAGGGGCTGACGGAACAGCAGAGGCTTCTGGGGCTTCTATCCTGCCCTACCCTCCCGGTTCTGGGAGAGTGGTCTGGACCAGAAAGAATAAAACAGAGAAAAATTCTTAATATAATGACCTTCAAGAAGAGCAACTACATTTTACCTTGAAAACTGCAGAACTGAAAGCACAGTCTGTATAGACAATGCAAATGATATGCAAACACGAATGCAAATGGACCAGGGGCCCTGCCACCTCGGAAGCATTCTTAGGCCCCATGTGCCTCCAGTGGGAGGCAGAGGAAAACAGACAGAGGGCAATTAGGAAGGTCTCCAGGAACTGCAGGAGGCTTTTTTGCGGGGAGGAGGACACCATAGGGACCTTAGAGGGGACCCAGGTCCAGGGCTCCTGTGCACTGTGAAGCTTCCTGAATCCCTGGAGATCTCTGGGCATACCAGCCCTGCAATACACACACACATAGAGCAGTCATGCCATCATGGAAACACTGACACACAGAGACACAGCTGCTCACAGGCACAAAGCACGCTACTCAACCCAACACGCAAAGACACAAGCACAAAGACATATACAGACGTCCTCACATCCCTATCTACACCACCACACTCAGAAATACACACGTGGATAACAGCAGCACATACACAGACAACAAAGAGAAACACACCAATCTAGACACAAGTGGAAACACAAACACAAATACAAACATAGCCATACTGACAACTGCAGCCAGTCAAATAAATCTATCTGGAAAAGAAAGAAATTTAGATGTCCTGAATGCCTTTGTGTGAGGCATGGTGCAGAACATTAAATCTTCATTTAGTCTTCACAAAGCAGCACTAACAAGTAGGGGCAAGCCGGACATAGTGACTCACATCTATAATCTCAACACTTTGGGAGGCCAAAGCAGGAGGATCACTTGAGCCCAGGAGTTTGAGACCAGCCTGGGCAACACAGGGAGACCCCATCTCTACAAAAAAAAATAAAAAATTATCCTGGCATGCCAGTGCACACCTATGTTCCCAGCTACTTGGGAGGTTGAGGCCAAAGGATTGCTTGAGCCTGGGATGTCGAGGTTGCAGTGAGCCATAATTGTGCCACTGCACTCCAGCCTAAGCAGCAGAGTGAGACTCTGTCTAAAAAAAAAAAGAAAGAAAGAAAGAAAGAAAAAGAAGAAGAAAGAAGGACAGATGGAAAGAAAGAGAGAGGGAGGGAGGGAGATAGGGAGGGAGGGAGGGAAGGGAGGGAGGGAGGGAGAAGTGGTTGGTTATCTCAGTATTACCCCAATATTTACTGACAAGGAAAAGGAGGTCCAAAGATGAGCTGATATGCTCATGCCTATCCAATAAGCAGTAGGAAAGGGCAAGCAAGAGACCCAACTCTTGATGATACCACAATGCTGCACCATTCCCCTCTGCCCTCCTCCCCATACAAGTGGGACACAGAAGTTACTGTCAACTCCTTCCTCTTCCACCTCGAGGTCCTCTCCCACCTGGCTTCCTTGGAGATACTTCAGCCCTTCTCTCTCCTGCCCTATCACGCCTTCAGCCAGAGGGTACTCTGCAAGACAACCTCACATTAATTCTGGCCTATGCATAATCTAATTTGGAAATCTACTGAGAGAGGAAGGAAATCATTTATTTCAATGGAAATGGGACACAAGGCTGAATTTTCTGTTGCCACTTGTCTCTGGGTAAATGATCATAAGAGAAGAATGACTCTTTCCCCCAAAGTATACAAACTTTAAGCACTACCCTGCCTACCCTCTTCTACATACACACACACACTCAAAAAGAAATGTGCTTCTCAGAGCAAAGAATGAACAAGTGTTCTCACTTCCTGCCATTAACTCACCGTGGCACTCTGGGCAAGGCACCTAACCTCCGGATCTCGGTTTCCCCATTTGCCCCTGAGAGGCCGGAGAAGCTGATTCCTGAGGCTGCTGCCCTGCCCCACCCTGCATGTTCCCTGACAGTACAAGGGTCCCAGGTTGACGGTTGCCCATGGTGTTTCCCAGAAATGTCCCCTGGCGTTGAGGACTCCCTGCTAATGCTGGGATCAGAGAGGGGCTAAGGCCTGGGCCCTGACCGGGGAGGCAGGACAAGGTCAGCCCAGCCCCAGGGTGAGGACTCACCCGTCATCCCTGGACCTCCAACCTGCCAACCTGAGACACTCTCCATCCATTTGGTAACTTGAACTTCCAGGGGTGCAGAAGGGCGGCCAGCTGGGAGCGGGGCAATCTTAAAATATAACAAGGCCACGATCACTGGAAGTGAGCTGGAAGAGTTGTGAGATGCCAAATTGTTGGTTTTGAGTGTATTTTAGGGCCTCAGACTCCCTTTCCAAATTAATATTCATGGAGACTGGCATGCCATTTATTTGCATATGTAGATTGTTGCTCATCCTCTGCAGGAGGAGAAAGAGTTTTGGGGTGTTTTTATTTATTGTATTTATTTTAAGCTTGGATGATAAACCAGGCAAGTCAGGCAGGGGAAGGACAGGTTCCAAGGACAGGAGTGGGTTTTAAATAATTTTTGGTCTGAGAAAAGATAGGCCCTAGATACACAGGGGTAAGTCACCTCTACCGACCTGCAGAATCAATTCCAGAACAGTCCTTCCAACATCATACTATGAAGCTCCTACCTCAGGAAGCATGGCCACCTCACGTGGTCCACATGGCCTCTGGAAAACCAAGCCTGTTGTTGTCACTCAGGGTTACTAACCATTGGGAGGTAGGCATCAAGTCGGGGTGTGACTTGGGCCAAGCCACTTGAACTCTTTAACATCCTGTTCTGAGGACAATAACCTGCTCTACAAAGTTGTTGTAAGACACAGTCTAGAAAATACATGCGCCTGAGAAGTGCCTGCTCAACCGCGAGGCCCTAACAATGGTGGTCCTTGCTATGGTCTCACACCTCATCTCTCCCGCAGTAAACATCGCCCACTCCTCCCAGACACCCCCAAAGAAGGCTCTATGTCCTGCCCACTGTCATCCAAGGCCTTCTGAAGACCTGAGGCCCATTAGTAAGTCCTCTCCTGCTCGTTACTGGCTCTACCCCTCTTTTCTGCACCAAGTAACACATCTTATCTGTTCCACCAGAAAGCTCAGAGTCCGCTGCTAGAATCTAGAGGTTCCTGAATTATTCCAAAGTCCTGGGGATGCAGCAAAGCAGTGGGGCACAGTGGGACACAAGGAAAAAGAGACTGGGAGAACAGGCACCCAAAGGTCGGGAGAACTTCAGGAAGATGTATGCAATAGAAAACATAGAGGAAAGAAGATGACCCTGTTCCTCACTCCTCTCCTGCTGGCTGAGTGAGCACAGGAAGCCACCCGACTCTCCCAGAGCCACGCTTTCCTCATCTGCAGGATAACACCAAGAATCCCGACTTCACAGGGTGGTTACCAGGCTCAGTTAAAATCTTTCCTAAAAATCACCTGAAGTAGTACCCAGCACAGAGCAGGAATTCATTAAATTTAGTCCCTTTCCCCAGTTGAGGTGAAGAAAAAAGGGTGAAGATTAACTGATTTCTCAGGTAAATAATCTATTCCTATGATTTATTAATTCAACAAATACTGAAGTGCTGTGTGCTTGCTGGCCACGACCCTGGGTATAAAGACAGATACACCCACCCCCACTGCCTTGGGTCCCAGGGGTCTTATATCCAACTGGGAAGACAATAAACACACCAATAAAATGTTATCAATGACAACAGCAGCATATTAAGTGCCAAATTTGTGGTGCGGGCAATAATTGCTACAGAAGTTCATGGGAAGGAAAGATCAATGCTTGGATATCACTGTGGGCTCCAGTAGTGAGGGGAGGTCACCTGAGGATGCAGGACTAACACTGGTCTTAAAGGAAAGGGTGATTTGGATTAAACACAGGGAAAGACAGAACTTGAAGCTGAGTCAGCCATAATGGTGAGTCCTAGCAGTGAACAGGTAGGGACTGGGGAGGCAGGATGCAGGCAGATTGTTGAGACTTTCAACTGTCTATTTGAGGAACTTGGGCTTCATCTGGTAGGTGCTATGGAAAAAAAATGTAAGATAATGAGTTGGTTAAAACAATGTTTTAGGCCAGGCACAGTGGCGCACTCCTGTAATCCCAGCACTTTGGGAGGGCAAGGTGGGAGGACTGCTTGAAGCCAGGAGTTTGAGACCTGCCTGGGTAATATAGCAAGACCCATCTCTGTAAAAAAAGAAAAAAAAAAATTAGCCAGGCATGGTGGCATACACCTGTGGTCCCAGCTACCCTGGAGGCTGAGGCGGGAAGATAGCTTGAGCCCAGGTGTTCAAGATGGAAGTGAGCTATGATTGCACTACTGCACACCAGCCTGGGCAACAGTGTGACCCTGTCTCCAAAAACAAACCAAAACCAATGCTTCAGTGTGATATGAAGGGGAAAGAGATGAGAGGCTGGAAAATGGCTCCCAGAGCAACATATTGGATTTGCAGCCATGGATTCCGGACTCATTGCAGAGACTCTACCCCTCAGTAGAATTTATAAAAACTATCCCATTTACAGAGCCCCCATAGACTACTCCCAAAGACACATGTCCCCCCATACACCTATGCACTATGCTCTGAGGATGGCAGAGTAGGATGCAGTGCCATCACCCGGCATGAGTTAGAGAGGACCTGAGCAAAGAAGATTTCTCATGTCAGAAGGGAGAGAACATATACAAGAAACATCCTAAAAACAAAAGGCAGCCAGGCATGGTGGCTCACTCCTGTAATCCCAGCACTTTGGGAGGCCGAGTGGGGTGGATCACCTGAAGTCAGGAGTTCGAGACCAGGCCAACACAGTGAGACCCTTTCTCTACTAAAAATACAAAAATGAGCCAGGCATGGTGGTGCAAGCCTGTAATCCCAGCTACTCAGAAGGCTGAGGCACAAGAATTGCTTGAACCCGAGAGGGAGAGTTTGCAATGAGCAGAGATCACGCCATTGCTCTCCAGCCTGAGTGACAAGAGCAAGCCTCCATCTCAAAAATAATTAATTAATTTTTTTTTTAAAAAAAGCAAGTCGATGCTTGAGTATTGCAAGCAGAGTGTATGGAATGGGGGCAGGGGTACCTGCTCAGGTTTTGAGCCCAAACATCTGGGAAGGTGGTTTCGCCAGCAACAAAAGTGAAGAAACCAGAAGGGGAGATGACTTGAGAGGTGAGGAAACATTAGATTTCAGTTTAGGCATATAGGTTTCATGATGGCGGCCAGGCATCCAAATACTGCTTTTAATAATAATAATATCTGCCCAGTGCAGTGGCTCACGCCTGTAATCTCAGCACTGTGGGAGGCTGAGGTGGGTGCATTGCTTGAGCCCAGGAGTTCAGGACACTAGCCTGGGCAATATGGCAAAACCCCATCTCCACCAAAAAAAAAAATAAAAATAATTAGCTGGGCATGGTGGCAACACCTGTAGTCCCAGCTACTTGGGAGGCTTAGGTGGGAGAATCGTTTGACCCAAGCAGGTCAAGGCTGCAGTGAGCTAAGATTGCACCACTGCACTCCAGCCTGGGCAACAGGAGTACGATTCTATCTCAAAACTAATAATAATAATAATATCTAATCAGGAGATGAAACGTGGCTTGAGACATGGAGATTGATGCGTGATCCAGGACTGGAAACCAGGAATCCAGGGCTGGCGAGGGAGTCACTGCGGCCTCCCTCCCAGAATCATGCTAGTCAGTACTGATCGTATTTGGATTGACTATCAAAGCCACTGTGATTGTAGAGATAAGATTTTTATCTTGGCCAAATGGTCCCATTTTACCACTGAGAAAAAAGCAAGAGGAAGCAAGTTGGGCAGAAAGATTTTATAACCTATCCATACTTAAGTGCTGGAGTTTCAGTATGAGCCATGAACCACCTCCTCCAGGAAGCCTTCCCTAGCTACTATGGCTCCCATTGATGTTATGCTCCTCCTATAATGGTGGGTCTGCAAGTCATGATTATTTATTCTCTAGTTCTGTTCTCCATTTGATATTCTTGATGGTCTAGTCCTCACATGTCCCCTGCATTAGATGATTATAAATTCTTTGATTCAGAGATCAATTTACAAATAATCTTCTACTCTCTTGTACTAATCAAGTATAATTATGGTGCTAATTCAGATTTATCTTCCCAATAGATCCCCATCCTAGGTTCAGTAAACTGAGGCACAGGAGGTGAAAAACAGGGCTTAAAACGAGTAGAAAGATAATTCAAACCCATGTCTTGAGCTCTATGGCAACCACTGTTAGTTACTCCTTTCACCCTTCCAAAAGAATCCTAATTTTGATCCTCTCTGAGGCCCAATACACAAATCAAGGTTGTTCTAGGCCAAGCCAGGTGCTGTGGTGCACATCTGTGGTCCCATCTACTCAGGAGGCTGAAACAGGAGGATCACTTGAGCCCAAGAGTTTGAGGCTGCAGTGAGCTATGATAGCAGCACTGCACTCCAGCCTGGGCAACAGAAGGAGAGCCCTTTAAAAAAAAGATGGTTCAGCCGGGCGCAGTGGCTCACACCTGTAATCCCAGCATTTTGGGAGGCCGAGGCTGGCAGATCACCTGAGGTTGGGAGTTTGAGACCAGCTTGACCAACATGGAGAAACCCCATCTCTACTAAAAATACAAAATTAGCCAGGCATGGTGGCGCGTGCCTGTAATCCAGCCACTCGGGAGGCTGGGGCGAGATGGCACCAGCCTGGGCAACAAAAGTGAAACTCCGTCTCCAAAAAAAAAAAAAAAATTGTTCTAGGTCAATTACAATGACTTCCTTCTCTTGCCTGTGGTGGTTGACTTAGGCGTGACACATGATTCACAATTCTAGCCAATAAGACAAAAGGGAAAGTCTGCTGAGGGGCTTCTGGGTAAGACTCCCTCCTGCCTTTTCTGCCTCTGCTCATGATTGTGAGGATATAACACCTGGAAATGTTGCCACCATCTTGTGATCTTGGGAACAGGAAAGATGAAAAGCATCCGGATCTTTCATGATGCTGTTGAACAAACTGAAAGAACCAACTATAGGGCAGACATAACCCAGACCTCTTGTTATGGGAGATACTAAATTCCTTATTGTTTCAGCCAGTTGAATTCAGCTTCTCTGTCACTTGCAGCCTTCATTCCCACTCCAATCAAGGGCTTTTGTCACAATGGATACCTGAGCTAACCATTATAAAAGATATATAACTAGTAAAGTCCTGGCCCCTGCCCTCATTGTGCCTATCCCAAGGTTTGGCATTCAATAAGTATTCAATCTATATTTGATTAATTGATCTTCCCCTTGCTCACCAGGTACAGGGGATATATTCCCTGAAGGCATCTTTCTTCCCTTTACTAAGCCTCACTGATTATCTTTAAGTTTCAGCCTCACATTTTGACTGTGGTCTCAACATTACTGACCAGGTCCTTCTCCATAGTCTCCTCCCACCTCTGAGGATCAAACTAAAAGCAAGGTACTCACACTTGGCCCAGAGAGACCATCAGCGAAACTCCTCATTCCTAAATATTTGTTCTTTGAAATGTCTTTTTCAATTAGATCTCACCCAAATGTTTGAGAGTCAGGCTGAATTCCAACTTCCTGCTCCAGAACAGACATGTTAAGCCTGCATAATTACTGCAGCCAGCTTTATTTGCTATAAAAACATGGATTTTTGCTCCCTCTCAACTATAAAATAATCGATAAATAGAATCCAGATGAAAAATGCTGGCGTTTAGGAGAACAACTCTTTTATGGTTCTTTTCTTTTGGGTCTAATTAACACATTGGGGATAAAGTGTGCTGTTACATTTACCAGGCCAGCCAAGTTGAAACACAAACTCTCCTCTTCCTGCTGAGATACAGCTTCATATCAGAAATACAGGAAGACAGACAGACAGAGTTTCAAAACATTTTGAGATGCTCAACAAACAGACCTGTGAACCTGTGGTGTGGACTTCCTTCAGCACCTCTCTGTTCACACTGGCTGTTCAGTTGTTTCCCCCACCCCTCCCAATTCCTTAAGAACACACTGCATAGTTACTGTCAAATGAAACACAGTCCCATTAGCAGGAGAAGCAATCTCTCTTTCAGTCTTTTAATGAAGAAGGCATGTTTTTTTGGACAATGACCACCCAGGCCATGGAAGTTTCATGAGGGGCTCTCGGAGTGGATGACACCTTTTCAATTATAACACTGCTATAATAAACCCCCACAGAGCCACCGGGCATGGAGTCTACATCCAATACACGACACCTATTTATTCCCTAATTATATTGCAATATATTCTCTCTGTGTATGTGCTGATGAAGATAAAATATTCTTTTAATTCTATGGCCTCTTGGATGGGGAGGGGGAGGGGATGTACATAGCAAGTCTTATGAGTTCCTAGAGCTAAATCACAGCCTTCGTTCCAGGCTTCCCCATCTTATAATCTCAAAAAATCATTCACTTTCCCTTGTTCTACCACATTGATTCTCAAAGTGTCCAAGTGTGGTCTCCAGAACTAGAGAATCAGCATCACCAAGGAACTTGTTTAGAAATGCAAATTGCTGGACCTACTCCAGACCCATTGAATCAGAAACTTGGGAGTGTGGCCCAGTAACCTGTGTTTTCACAAGCCCTCCACACTGAAATCTGAGAATCACTAGTCTGCAAGGAAGAAATGCTTTACTAGGAAGAAAAGAGCAGCATTTTAAATTGAATCCTGTATCAGGGAACACCTGGATTCTATACGGGCTGGGCCCCTCTTACTGCACAGCTGTCCCAATCTACAGATTCAGGGCTCCATTTACTCATCTGTACAATGGGGCTCCAGAGCACACCAAACAGCTGTGGATGCTGGAATTTAAGAGGGACATGGTTACCTGGCACCAGTCTCTATGGATACCTAGCAAGATCATAGTTGCCAGCACTCACCAGCTCCCTTCCTGGCAGAAGATCTGCACAGCAGTTCTCCAATGCTGCCTCTAAGGTCACCACTGCAGCTGCCTTTGGGTTACCCCTGGCAACCAGGAGCTGGGGTCATGCAAGCCCACAGAATCTCCAAATCTCACAGCCAACAGCGTCAAATCTTTCACCTTGGAGCCTTGAACCACTAGAGGGGAGGTTCAGAATTCCCTATTATATTGTCCCATTTCAGGACTTCTTCAGACATTGTTGTGTATTTGCCTCTGTTCTACGACTAAACTTTAAGCCTATGGAGGAGAGAGCCTAGAATGTCAGCATCACAAGGTATGGGACTCCTCCTGTCTGATTCATTGCTGTATCCCAAGGGCCTAGTCCAGTGCCTGGCACAAAGAAGGAGCTCAGTAACTATTTGCTGACTACGTGTTCCTGCCTTTCATAAGTTCGGAACACTGAAGCAGCTAGAAGTTATGGTTGGGAAGAGGCAAAAGGGCTGGGTGCGGTGGCTCAGCCTGTAATCCCAGCACTTTGGGAGGCCAAGGCAGGCAGATCACTTGAGGTCAGGAGTCTGAGACCAGCCTGGCCAACATGGCAAATCCCCATCTCTACTAAAAATACAAAAATTAGCCTGGCATGGTGGCCCACACCTGTAGTCCCAGCTACTTGGGAGGCTGAGGCAGGAGAATCACTTGAACCCAGAAGGCGGAGGTTGCCGTGAGCCAAGATCATGCCACTGTACTCCAGCCTGAGAAAGTGAGACTCCGTCTCAAAAAAAAAAGAATGAAAAAAAAAGAGAGAAGGGGCAAAATAATGAGAATGATTGAAACCCCTGGGAATGATGAGAAAGGAGAAAAGAAGCAAACGCCAGAATACTGCCCATCTGACCCCACCACACTTGGCTCATGGGGAACTGACTTGCCGGCCGATTGCTCACCCTAAGTCTAGGCCTAGAAGACCCCTGGGGCCAGGTTCTGAGCTTGAGCTCTGAGCAACTGGCTCTTCTAGCTTCCCTAGTGATTCTCACACAAAGGCCCAGTGCTCATTGGCCCTGACAGTGCTGTGCTTTGACCAGCCGCTTAACCAGCTTTCCTGCCTCCTTCTTAGGACTCAAGCCCTGTATCCTGACAACCCTCCTTCCCCAAATGGAAACCTACCCGAGGATCAGCTCCTAATCTTGCCTTCTCCACGGACTATCCCTAATCCAGCCCCTCCCGAAGTGATTTCACCTGAGAATGCCTACATGCACTCACTTCCTTGACTACAAAACAATGGCTCCTCTTTCCCTATGGGTTGCACCTGATGGGGCTGAGCCCTGTGTGCGGGCTCCATTTACCCCCAGAGCTCGGTGCAGGGACAGAACAGGTATGCAACAAACTGTCACATGAGTGATTTATCCTGGGAGATGCTCCCAGCACAGCACCTAACCCGAAAATCCAGAGACAGGTCCTCTGCCTCTAACCTCACACACACCCAGCCCTCGAGCCTGTCAAGGATGTGCAGTGGCCTAACTGGGAACACTTGCCCTGTGCGAAGAAAGCAGTAAAGTTAGAGTGGAATACTAGAAAAGGCCCTGACCCAGAAGTCAGGAGACTTGGTTTATCTACTCTTCCTCCCGTATAGCAGCTCTAAGCAAGTCCTTTCACTTCTCTGGACCTCAGTTTGCTGATCTGTGAGTGGGAGGAAGTGGCGAGATTGCAGTCCTAGACCTCGAATTTCTAGCGGCTTAAACAAAATGTGAGCAACGGAGAGAGCTGGTGCATGGTGTGCACCAGGAAAATCCGCCGGAGGAGCAGAGGATGCTCAACGTCTGCTCAACGCCCTCGGGGCACCCCGCCCAGTCTGCAGGGAGTGACGGCAGAGGGACCCTCTCCGGAAAGCCTCGAGCTTTTGGTACCTCTAAACCCCCTAAACCTCTCAAGATAATCTCCCGACAGCACTCCAACAAAGAGAGCTGCTGGGCCGGGGCTCCGCTGGCTCCGAGAAGCCGCAGAGGTCGGCGAATCCGGCCCCTCCGACTCCGGGAACGAGTGGGACTGAGCCCCCGGCAGGCTCCGATTGCCCCAGCCGGCCGCCGCGAGCCGCACCCCCCGCCCCCCACCCCCCACCCCCCACCGGCCGGGGTTTTAACCCTTGTTTCCCTGGCAGAGCGCCGGAGGGGCGCTGGTGCCGGGGCGCGAGGACCCCTGCCCAAGGGAGCCGAGATGGCCAGGAGCCCAAACCATCCCAAAGGCCTCCTCCAACCCGCCGCAGGCCCTGTTCTCTCGGCTCTTGGAGGGATGGAGAGTGGGCGATCCTGAAGCGGAGCCACTTTGAAATATTTTTCCGGAGAACATGACCACTCGGGAGACAGTCACACTGGCCTCGCAGCGCGGGCTGCGGGGCACCGATCCCGAGACGCGGCTGCCGCTGGATGGAGCCCGCGAGTCCAGGTCCGGGAGAAGCCGCCCGGGCTCGGGGGCTCTGGGCACCGCCACGCCGAGGCTCGGCGCTCCCGGGCTCAGGACAGGTGACGGCTGCATCCCACTCAGGGACCTTGACGCCCTCGAGGAACGATTCTGCCTATTTTTAAGTAGTATTTTTTCTAACAAATTAGGAAAATAAACCAAGTCCAGGAGGAAGGCGGCTGCGCTCGGCAGCTCCAAGGAGCCACAACCACCACCCATTTCCCCACCTCCAACACTACCGCCCACGGCTGGGCGAGAAGTTGGGAACTTCGGGACCACGCTCCAGGCGCGCGCAGAGAGTCACTTGCTTCTCCTTTAACTTTGGGAGCCAGGGTCGCAGTCTAGGGCAGGAGGATCGTCCTGGGAGCCAACCAACAAGGCCGTCCAGGTCCTGGACTTCCCGGAATAGAGTAACGGCTATGGGATGGGAAAGAAATAGGGGGATACACGTTCCGCCTCCCTTCTCCCAAAAGCAAAAGCGTGCATGGCACTTGCTGGGGCTTAGCGGCCGCGGGGCGCATCGCCGGCCGCCGCCGAAAACCTGCTGCGTCCCCGCAGGCTCTGCCTCCCGACCCCGGCGGGGAAGGCGCCGGTGCAGTGAGTGCAGCCGGCGCACCCGGGGCGGCTTGAGAGCGGAGTCCCCAGACTCAAGGGGGCGGACGGGCGCCCTCCCCGGGACACCCGCGCCGCGCCACTGCTCTCGGGTCTTCCCCCGCACGTGGAGGCGCCGCGGACGCTGCATCCCGACTGCGGCCGGAGGGCTGCGGCTGCCCACATTGAGGCGCCCTACATCCTGCCGGACCCCCTGGCGCTCCTGCAAGCCCCGGCATCCACCTACTCCCGGAGCCAAACTCGGCTTCGGCAGCCGGGACCCGGGCAGGGCGGCCGGGGTCCGCGGAGCTGGTGGAAAGTTAGTCGCGGGGCCTCAAAGTCCCCTCCCCAGGGCCGGAACCCCCACCCCCGCGTCCCCTGGTGCCCCCGGCGTCCGAGACTCCGCGTCCTCGCGGTCCCCACTCAGCCACCTACCTGCTCCCGCGGCCGGCCCAGGGATCGGCCGGCCAGTCGCGCGGTCCTGTCCTCCGGAGCCCGAGCCTGGCCAGAGCGCCAGGCAGGAGCAGGGGGCCGCGAGCAGCCGGGAGCCGGGCGGCGGGCAGCGGGCACCGGGAGCGACTGAGCGAGCGAGCGAGCGGGCGGCTGGAGCCGCGGCGGCTGCTGCCGAGCCAGCCCCCACCCGCTTCGTCCCTCGGCCCCTCCCTCTCCTTCCCTCCCAGCCTTCCTCCTCCCGGCTCGCAGCTCCCTCCCTCCGCTCTCCCGCACACCCCCCTCATTTTTTTCCTCTTTCTCTCTGTTTGGTCCTTTCAGATCCTGCTGTTACGCGCGCGCTCGTTCGTTCTTTTTCCTGTCTTCAGTCTCTCTCTTCAGCTTGCCTTTGGATTCTCCTTTTTCTCCCATTCATCCTTTTCCAGCATCTCACCTCCCTCCTCCCCACTTTCGTTCTTTTGGTCATTTTTCTTGCTCCCTCTTTTCTCTATTTTCTATTTTCTCCTCCTGCTAACCTTCTCGCGCGTCTACTCCCCTTTCTCTTCCCTACTCCCCCTTTCCCTCCTGGGGGAGTGGAGCGGCCTGCGCGCCTCCTCCTCTATGCTCTCGATGGGAGATCCCGGGGATGGGAGTGGGGGTCTGGGGGTTAAATGGAGCCAGGGGCACCCCCAGGCCGTGCTCCTAACAGGCCGAAGGTCGAGAGGGAGGGGTAGGGCCGGAGACAGGGACTCAAGACAGGGGCTCGAGAAACGTCCCGGCAAGGAAAAGGGCAAGAAAAGCAAAGAACTCAAAATGTTAAGACCCAAGTCGGGCTGAGCCGTGCCTGGTGAGATGAGGAAACTGAGACCCAAAGAGAAGAGGGCAATGAACTTGTCTTGCCGAGGTCTACTCCAGGCAAGGTCGAGACCCCCACCGCTCCTCGCAGCCTAGGACTGGGCTCCTGCGCTGATGCGGGAAGTGCGAGGGCGCCTGAGGCCCGTCAGCTCGTTCCCGTCCCTTTGCCTGCCTCTGCGCCCAAGTCCCGGGGGCCATGGGGAGGAAGCCTTCCTCCTCTGCTACAGCACCTGGGGCCGCCTGGCTGCCCCACGACACTCCTAGTGAGGCCAAGCCAGACAGGGGTAAAGACCTGGCTCTTAAGAGTGGTGCAGGGAACCCCCTTTCCTCCACCTCCTACCCCTTCCCAGGAAATGTGGGCTGACTCCTGCTTACACGGGATAGGAGTGGCGGCAGGGTACTTTGCTCGTGGGGTTTGCCCTCTTTTGTCCTTGAACTAAAACTGGAGCGGAAAGGCCCAGGGTTGGAAAGGTGGTTATACACACCTGGGGAGATGAATTTTTGCGAATAAAGTAGGCCTAATGCCTGAGACTGGGAGCTGTGTGTCCGTCCGTGTGTCTGAGCACCTAGCCCACCCGGGCCATTCTGGGTCTGATGGAGCAAGTCCCTCCCCTAGAAGCTTTTCCTGGCACTTCCTCGTTTCAGCCCAGTGGAGTCGGGCGGGAGGAGAGACGTGGGGTCTCCGTTCCCATGGAGTCCACGCTGCGGCCCGACACCACCAGGATTCTCATAGTTCCACCCCTAATTTCTGGGGCCAGAAATTTCTGTGGTACACAACCAGAAGCAGAAACAGAAGTACAACCAGAAGCAGAACCTCTGCTCAGCCCCTGGGTAAAAATCTACTTTGGGGTGCTAGCAAAACTCTGCACAAATATTCTATTCATTCCTCGCTTTGGGATATCAAATTAAGTCAATAAAGCCCGGCCTGGGCCTCTGTGGTTCACACCACAAAGCCAGAAGAAGCATCTGCTCAAGGCTGAGACTTGGGTGGGGCACGTGGAGTGCTCACCCTCAGAGTCTGCAACTGAGGGTGAGCGCCTCCTTAAATTCTCCCCTCAGAGCCTCCCTGCCTCACCCTAGTCCCGACTGCAGGCAAATCTGAGGGCTGCTGTTCACCAGCTGTCTGGCCTTGGTCCATGGCCGCCCCCATGCTGGCATTATTTCCCCACCTGACCATGAAGAGGCTGAATTCGATGTTCTCTAAGATTTTCTCCAGCTCTGAGGTGCCACAGTTTGTGGGTATCATAGATGCCAAATTTGTATGCCTGCTCCACCACTTACTAACTGTGACACTGGGCAGTCACTTAACCTGTTTCCCTATCAGTAAAATGGGAACGATGATAGTACTGTGAGCTGTGTGAGGATTAAACCACATAATGCACCGAAGCACAATTCCTGACACAGAGTAGCACTTGACTACTGTGAGCAATTAATACTGCACAAGGTAGGGTTTGGCATATCTTTCCTTCATCTTCACATTCCCATTTTCATTATGAGTTGTAATCCCCACCATGTCCCACAACCCTCCCTCTATGTGGTAGCCATCCACTTATAAGTCTCAGACTTCAGTTCTGATAGGTTTGGGAAGGTAGACAGGTCTTCCCATCTCATCCCATCTCGATGACCAATAAATAGGAAGAAACTCCCGCTCCCTCCTCTTATACACTCACACCTGCCAGGCTTGAATTGTGTGTCTGAGGATTGCTGGCCCCCTCCACGCTGGGCTGGGGATTGCCTGGTTTTCTGCTACACTCTAAAAAGCCATACCAATCTATAGAGCTGCACCTTCCATACCCAGATGGCAAGGCTCCAAGGACACATGTCCCAACAGAGCCAGAAACACTTTTAGCAAGCATCTCTGAGGTTGGCTGGGGGTCACATTAGAGCCCATGGTCCATCATTCATTTGTCAGTCTCTGAGTGCCTACTTACAGGAGGCGCCACTCTGCACAGCCCACTGCCATATCCACCTTCAACTAGCTGCAACAAGGTCATTTTGGAAGCTATGCCATCTAAAGCCAGGCTACTCACTGAAGGGCATATTTGAGATAAAAATCCACTATTCTGTGCTATAAACCCTGCTATCAAAAAGTTTGCATACCTGGTTGATGCTGCCAGAAAAAAAAAAAAAAGCAAGCTTATACTCTGGAGTCGGAAGACAGTGGAAAAAAAAAAAAAAAGAAAAAGAAAAGGAGCAGAAGCAGAGTAGGGAACCTGGAAGAGGAAGCCTGACTTCAAATCCTTGGCTCTGTCACATGTTAGCTATATGACCACAAGCAAGTGCAATTGCACCCTCTGCACACTTTGGCCTGGACAGGGGTGAAAAGTAAGGAAGCCAAAACTCCGGCACCTAAGGTGAGAGGATCTCCTCCTCTTAGAAATAAATTATCTGAAGGCTAGGACACTGGAGAGAGGATCCAAGGCTCAGACCACAGTGGTCTTTCCTTCAGTCAAGTGTGCAGGCAGGGAATTCTCTTTGTTTTCCTTCTCTCTCCCTCCATTCCTTGAGGGGAGATCGCCTTTCCCTCTCTATCTTCCTGCAGAACTCTGACTCAAAGCCCCAAGCAGGAATACCCACAAAGCAAACCCAGGGATGACTGGAATTTGTTGAATGAATGAACGATTTCAGAACTTGTGGGGTCTTTTAAAACTGCAAGTGGAACACAATATGTCAGAGTGCTTGGGAGGGCGGAATGTCTCCCTCCCCACCAGACTCTAACATAATTGGGGTCAATACCATGTCTTATTTACCTTCATATCTGATACAAAGCCCAGCATAGGGCCTTGCCTTGGAAAAAGAATAAGTAAAATATCTACAATTTATTAATAAGATACACACATGTTATCATTTAAACTTCGTGACAATTCTGTATAGTAGGCATTATTATTTCCCTTCTACAGAGGAAAGACTGAGGGCCAAAAAAAAGTAATTTGCCCTAGGCCACATAGCCAGTAAATGACAGAACCTGAATTTGAACTCAAGCTTGTTCTAAGCTCTTTTCTCGATGCTGTAGTGTCTTGCACTATGGGACTGGGACTTGGGTAAGGCAACCTAGGGAGGCATTCACTCTCAGGAGCTGAATGCACATACACAAACCTGAAAGTAACCTTCGAAAAATGCCCCCAAAGAATTATAGAGAATTTTGGGATCCATGTGGTCCTAGCCATCAGTGAGGTGCAGAGAAGAAACCATTGCTCAACTGCATTACATCCACTGATAGAACATACACTGATACAATATATGCCAGACCCATCTGCAAATATACCCACACACAACAATCCTGCCCGATACACAAATTACTGGGAGATGACAACCCAACACACCTACACACACACCAACACACCCCAAACATCCCCTGCACACACAAATATAACACAATTCCTGCACTCTTAAAAACGGGCGGGAGGCAGAGGATCAGAATAAGACGCAGTGGCATGACTCTTTTCACAAGCTTTTTATGAACCCACAACCACCAATCGAAGTCTTGATTAACTTGGTTGTATTTATTAAATCATGTTCAATATTTAATAACTTTGAATATGGATTGAATATTTAATGAGATTGGTGGAGATCTATTTGTGTATAAACGTCAGAAGTGCCAATTGCTTTGAATTGAGAATTGAGTCTGTGACTCATTCTCAGTAGCTGGTACTGGAGAGCTCTCCATTCTACATTTTCATGGATTTATTTAAATTACAGGTTATCATCATGACATTATTACACCATTACTTATTATGATGCTCCACTATTATAACATTATTAGGCTGTCCCAGAAAATGTGGCATTTAGATACTGAATTTCCTTGCATCCAGTAAAACCTGGATTGGGGTCTCTTGGTCTCCTTCCTCCATGTTTACTAGGAAAAGGGGCCAAATATGACACTGTGAAATGCATGCTGTCTTAAGCCCTCAATCCTCCCACAGGTACAAGATGATCTGGAAGCAATTTCTGGGTTATACTTTGTCCAAGACTAATTTGTCCAAAAGAAGAAACTCTACTTTGTGGACTGAAGACAAGCAACATGAATTTCTGAAACTTCTTTTACAGAAATATGAGAATCGGATGCATAATGCAATTTTCAGAGGCATCATGGGGATTCGTGAAAGTCCTTGGAAGATTTGAGATTCAGGAACTCAATGAATAAATTTAACTATCCATAAGTGTGGATTTTACACAAGGTACAGTTATATATTAATGATGTTCTCTGGCTAATAAGTAATTACAAAATGTAGTTTGTTAGGGGTCAAAGAGAAATCATTGGAAATAGCCCTTGTGCCACAGCAGGCTGTTGCCTGGCAGGATATAAACTGCTTACTCACAAGAGAGACCAAATGCATTCTCCATCAAATAACTCTCATCACTGACATACCTTTGTCATATTCTGATTTGCTCTGATTTTGGGTCCAAAGCAAATGTAAATAAATGCTACCAAAAGAAGAATAATTATAACACCACCATTAGGTGGAGAGTAGCCTTCTGACTGAAATCAATGTAATCATACTTCTTGGATACTGTTTTATATATATGTAAATATATATATTTATATATATTTATACACACAGGGTATGTGTGTGTGTGTGTGTGTGTGTGCGTGTGTGTATACATATATATATACAGGGTCTCACTCTGTTGCCAAGGCTGGAATGCAGTGGTGTAATCATGGCTCAATGCAGCCTCAAACTCCTGGGCTCAAGTAATGCCTCTGCCTCAGCCTCCTCAGTAGCTGAAACCACAGGTGTGGCTACCATGCCTGGCTAATTTTTTTTTGTTTTTTTTTTGTTTTTTTTGGTAGAGACAGGGTCTCACAATGTTGCCCAGGCTGGTCTCAAACTTCTGGCCTCAAGCAATTCTCCCACCTCAGCCTCCCAAAGTGCTAGGATTAAAGGCCTGAGCCACTGTGCTCAGCCACTGTTTTCATTTTATTTGCAACAAATGATTAGAAAAATTTGCACCTCTAAACACTTTTCTTTATTCTCCTCACCTTCAATACTCGACCAACTTTTAAATTAAATTCTACCTGATACCACACCAGTTTATTTGCCCATTCTGAATCCCCCATAGTGTCCTGGGCTTCCTGATTTTTTTTTTTTTTTTTTTTTTTTGAGACAGAGTTCGCTCTGTTGCCCTGGCTGGAGTGCAATGGCACGATCTCAGCTCACCGCAACATCTGCCTCCTGAGTTCAAGACATTCTCCTGCCTCAGCCTCCCAAGTAGCTGGAATTACAGGCATGCACCACCACGCCCGGCTAATTTCGTATTTTTAGTAGAGACAAGGTTTCTCCATGTTAATCAAGCTGGTCTCAAACTCCTGACCTCAGGTGATCCACCCGCCCTGGCCTCCCAAAATGCTGGGATTACAGGCATGAGCCACCGCGCCTAGCCGTGCTTCATGATCTTATTTATGCTGTTCTCAGAGCCTTAATGACTTTCCCATCCTCTTTTAAGCTTGGCAAACTCGTCTTACCCTTTAAAATTCTGCTCATCACTAAGGCCTTCCTTGGTGCCTTTACCCTACCTGTTTACCTACCCTGATTGGCACTTTTCTCACTGTAGTTTGATTATATGTTTACAGGTCTACCTGCTCACATTGTATGGTGAATACCATAGTCATTTCAATATCTCCAGTGTCTTGCATAGTGCCTGGTCTAATCCTGGGCGGATGCATGGATGAATGAATGGATGATGGGTGGATGGACGGACTTGGAAATAAAAACATACGGGTTTTATTATACTTGCGGCTCTTTATCCTTTGACTTGGGTTGAGCAGGGTGTTGGAGTAGGAGCCATCTTATTTTCCAGGAAGCTCATAATGCCATTCATTCTTAGACTCAAGTCAAAGCTCAAAGGGATTAGCTATGCCTTTGTTTTACAGAGAAAGTCATCCCCCTCATGGTTTCCCAATAACACATGTTTTCATTCAACAAACATTTATGAAGTTCTTACTATGTGCCAGGCTCCCTGCTCACTGCCTTGACTCACAACCCAAATCACTAAATCAACCCAGGTGGATTTCTAGTAGCAGGCAGCATCCAGGAACAACTTCTCTCCAGCACTGTTGGCAGTTTCCTCGCAGAAACCAACAGACTTTGGGGGAAGCAGAAGAATCTCCTCCTCGAGAGGGGGTCTGGAACTCTGGCTGAGTGGCAGCTTGACTTGGCAAATTCTTAGCTTTATATAAGCACCTCAAATCCTTTGTGGAAGTAGGTAGGGTATCAACACAATTCTCACACATTAAGCAAAATGTCCTCCTCTTCTTCAGCTTCCTCTGCTACCACTCCCTTCTCTACATTTGTCCTCCAGCAATGCTGAAAGAGGCTTGTGGGCCCTGTGCCCACTAGAACACAAGCTCCATGAGGAAGGGACTTTGCTTTGTTTGCCATTATACATCCAGCATCTAGAACTACACCTGGATATAATAGGCCATCAGTGAGTATTGGATAAGTTAATGAATGATATGTCATATTTTTGTCTTTGCTAGTGATGTCTTCTGTGCTTGGGACGACCTGTTTCTTCACACTAACTCTTACTCATCCAGCAAGACTAAGTCAGGCATATTCTCTCCTAGATAATCCTCCCTGAAGCCCCCGGGTTGGACCATACACCCTTCCTCTGGGTTTCCTGGCACCATGTGCACAGGCCTCTCTTTGCACTAACCACAATGTACTGCATTTATCTGTTATGTGTCTGCTCCCCATTCCAGACTTTGAGCATCATGAAGACAGGAACCATATGCTATTCATCGTCATACCCTCAGCTCCTTGGCAAGGTATCTGGAACACAGAGAGAACTCTATAAAGATTTGTCAAGCTGTACTGAACAACCCCAAGCGGATGCAGATTGGGTCACACCAAATGTGACTGCTGATTCATGTGGTCATTTGGCAAATATTGATTGAGTGCCTATGATGTGCCAAGCACTATTCTTAGCCAACGCTAAGCCAAATACACAAAAATAATGATAAAGTGAGTGCTTGTCAATTAGGTACAACCCAGGTATTTTACCAGGCTAGTTAATTGGTGTGTTGAGTCAATATGAAGACTGTTTTAAACTTCAGCTTTTGCTATAATATTATTTAAGCCTAGACAGGAAATTCAGGGTTCCAATAACTCAATGCTCTCTCTTTCCTGGGCTTCAGTGTCCACACCTACATGATGCACATATACTGTAGTCTCCCATGAGATATTTTGACATATGTTTATACAGGATCCTCTGAAATTCCTTGCACATTTTTAAATCTTAACAATTTGCCTAGAAACACTTTACAAATTGCATTAAGTATTTCAAGGCTTAGAAAACACTATTGCACAAAATGCCTTTGTATTTAAGATCTCATGATAAAGTCCATGTATTTATCTCATGATAAATAAAGTCCAATCAGCTTTCGATTCAGTTGAAATTCAATGTGCCTTTAAAAGCCATGTATTGATTTATTTGATCATACCCATGACCTATGTTACATTTAAGAAACTTTTATTGAGCCCTTTTATTGTATCATGCATTGTAGTAGGCACTAAAGAAAACAAAGATTAATAAAATGTGATCTTGACCTTTAAACAGCGCCAAGTTTGTTGGGGGAGCCTGAAACACAGCTGACCTACTGTAACATGTGAGATTGAGAGATGTTGCAACCCAGGTATACACAAGATGCTATGACAGCATAGAAGACCAACACATTCATTTTGTCTGCAAAGGTATCAGGGAATGTTTGATAAAAGTGGTGACACCTGAGCCAAGCCTAAATAAATGAGTAGAATTTGGCACAGTGAAAAGAAAGTACTAGAGAGAGGGGAGTGACATGGCACAGTGATAGGAGGCACATGGCACACTCGAGGGATACGTGCCATGGGCAGCTAGAGCAAAATGTAACTGCCAGGAAAGAGAGAGGAAAAGGTTGGAAAGGTGAGCTGGGCTCTGATGGAGGAAGATATTGATTGATAACAAGGCAGAATTTTATTCTGGAGATAATGGAGAATATTATTAAAGCTTAAAAGTTTTTAAATTGGCCGGGCACTGCGGCTCACACCTGTAATCCCAGCACTTTGAGGGGCCAAGGCAGGTGGATCATGAGGTCAAGAGATCGAGACCATCCTGGCCAACATGGTGAAATCCCGTCTCTACTAAAAATACAAAAAATTAGCCAGGCATGGTGGTGGGCACCTGTAGTCCCAGCTACTCAGGAGGCTGAGGCAGGAGAATCGCTTGAACCTAGGAGGCAGAGGTTGCAGTGAGCCGAGATCGCGCCACTGCACTCCAGCCTGGCAACAGAACGAGACTCCATCACAAAAAAAAAAAAGAAAAAGTTTTTAAATTATATGATGCCTTTATGCATCTATTATATAAAAAGACATACATTATAATACTCTGTCACACACACAAAAATGAATAAACACCAATACTATCTGATATGGTTTGGCTGTGTCCCTGCCCAAATCTCATCTTGAATTCTCACATGTTGTGGGAGGGACCCAGTGGGAGGTAACTGAATCATGGGGGCAGGTCTTTCCGATGCTGTTCTCCTGATAGTGAATAAGTCTCATGAGATCTAATGGCTTTATAAAGCAGAGCTTCCCTGCACAAGCTCTCTCTCTTTGCCTGCTGCCATCCATGTAAGACATGACTTGCTACTCCTTGACTTCTGCCATGATTGTGAGGCCTCCCCAGCCATGTGGATCTGTAAGTCCAATTAAACCCCTTTCTTTTGTAAATTGCCCAGTCTTGGGTATGTCTTTATCAGCAGCATGAAACCAGACTAATACACTATTTGTCTTTTATGAAATGAAATATCTACTCTGTACCAGGCAGGTGCCTTGCTAAGATAGGAATTCTTGCATTTTATCTTCACGAAAACCCTGAGATGTGTCATGATGCCCATTTTACAGATGAGGTAATGGAGGCTAAGAGTAGTTAAATCTCTTAGCTACTCTGTAGTGGACCTGGAACTTGAAATGTGTCTGACTCCAAAGTCCGTGATCTTAACTTTTAGGCTACGGCAGCAGCTTGTACAAACAATAAACAGATTCACGAATTAGAGGTTTACATAAAATTATTTTTAGCCTCAGGACATATCAAAAGCCTTAAAATGTTTACACTCTTAAACCCAGTAATGACAATTCTGAGAACAAATCTTACAGAAATAATCGGAAATTCACCCAAAGATTCATGTATAAAGATGATTATTGCAATGCTATTTATAACAGAGAAAAGTTGAAAGCAACCTAAGTACCCAACATTAGGAAAGGGTCCCTTATAAAATGGTGTATTATTTAATCATTAAAATTTTGATTGCATGGGATAGAATTATATAATCTCAATCTGTAAAGAAAAAATGCACAGTAAAAAAAATGAAAAAGAAACATTTCACAATGTAATTAGCAGTGGCCTCTGGGAGAAGTTAGAGGTGATTTTTTTCTCCTATGCATTCCAAATTGTCTACGCTTGAACACCTCATTCTTGAAATCAGGAAAAGATACAGTTAAAAAAAATCCATTCTGTGTCTTGATTACAGTCATGTCAGCTGGGTCAGCCTGGATTGTCAGCAGGATGAGAAACGTAACAGCAAAATCACCTCCCTGGCCCTTGATCCTACGATGTCTGGAGATCAAAATATTGACCAAGCTGGCACCCTGTCAGTGACACCCAAGGGTCCAAACTCAAATCATTTCACTTATTCATAGTCGCTCATGTATTCAAAGAAAGCAAAATAATTCATCTTACTTTATTTTCTTTATACTGAAAAGTTGCAGAACTTCATTTTAAAATCAGAAATATACATTGCAATTTTCTTGCAATTTGTTAAATTAACACATTTGTTAAATATTATGTTTGTTCTTAGCATGACTGTTAATTATTCAGGGGAGGTGGAGGGATGGAAAACAAAGAACAAATCCAGAACTTTGGGGCCCAACCTGGGACACCGACTGTGTGGTTAAGTGCTGAAACTCACTGTCAGACTGTGGGGCTTTCTCCGAGGAATTAGAGTTAGGCTAATAACCCAATTTGGAATAATTTAAAGCTCTTTTTAGGGAAGTTTTTGACTCAATTGGGCTCATTATGCATAGGTTTAATGCGTAACAATTTGTTCTTGAAAGCTAACATTATTGTTGGCAATAAAGATAGGAAGTGGAAATAAGCTTCCAATGTGTAAAGCAGATTTATTTCTCGTTTCATATGGACTTGTTCTGGGTCTCTGCGTGTGAATCACACTGTGCTCCCTGCAATAAGATGCTGTCCATGCAGTTGGTTATGATAAATGACCTGTAATTGTGAATCTGATATTGGTTTTCAATATTGAATTTATCATTCTGTCCTCTTAACAGCTATTAAATACTTTTAAGAATTTATCCATTTGCCTGATCCACCTGTGATTTTTCAATATGTAAAATTTATTGGTTTCCTAGTTTTTTGGGATTTTAACGGCCGACAGCATCATTAATAACGCTGAGTAATGGAGCTGACCTCTTTCAAACCTCGTTCCCTTCCACTACTACAGAACATCAAAATTGAATCAAAATGGATTTGATGTGGGAACCCAGCAAGAAAACGGCGGCGGTGGGGTGCCTGACTCGAAATGCGGCTGGTGCAGGCCAAGCC
This sequence comes from Homo sapiens, assembly GCF_000001405.40. Taxonomy (NCBI): domain Eukaryota; kingdom Metazoa; phylum Chordata; class Mammalia; order Primates; family Hominidae; genus Homo; species Homo sapiens. Next base: position 368,999 of record NW_003315944.2, read on the forward strand.
ACACACTGTCTGCTTCGACTCTTCACCTCCAATCCCCGGGCAGAGGGAGCCAGGCCTGGGCTGCCTGGGCCTTCCCAGCCTCCGCCTCCTCCTCCCATTGGATGAGCCAGCTCAGCAGCCTTCCTCGCCTTGAGCTGCCTCAGTTTCTTCAGTATTGGGTGATTGATGGAAATAATAATGCCGCTTGCCTGGCTCCCTCACGGACAGCGCTTTGTGAATTAATGAAAGCACACAGACTGTACACACAGAAAGCCCCCTCCCAGACAGCTGCATCGCTGCCCTAGAATTCTCATGAGCTTGACAGGGAGGGATCTTTGCCCTTCACCATGAGGACAGTGCAACCAGAGGCTGAAACAAATTAGGCCCTGTGGCCTGGCGCCGTGGCTCACTCCTGTAATCCTAACTCTTTGGGAGGCCTATGCAGGAAAATCGCTTGAGGACCAGCCTGGGCAACACAGTGAAACCCCTTCTCTACTAAAAATACAAAAATTAGCCCAGCGTTATGCTGCAGTGCCTGTGGCCCCACCTACTTGGGAGGCTGAGGTGGGAGGATCACCTGAGCCTGGAAGGTGAAGACTGCAGTGTGCGGTGATCACACCACTGCACTCCACCCTGGGTGACAGAGCCAGATCCCGTCTCAAAAAAAAAGAAAAAAAAATCAGGCTGTGTGGAATAACAGCAGAGTAGGACTTCCCCTGACCCCTGGTTCCGTATGTTAGGACCACCCATGTATGTTGCCCCCTGAACTGCAAGAAGCTAGCTCAGGGTCAGAGCTTTGGGTTATGCCTTTGCTGGTTTTTTGTTTTTGTTTTTGTTTTGTTTTGTTTTTTGAGACAGAGTCTTGCTCTGTCACCCAGGCTGGAGTGCAGTGGGGAAATCTTGGTTCACTGTAAGCTCAAACTCCTGGGCTCAAGCAATCCTCTGGCCTCACTCAGCCTTGCAAGAAGCTGGGACTACAGGTGTGTGTCACCATACCAGCCTAATTTTTTTTATTTTTTGTTGCCCGGGCTGGTATTGAACTCCTGGCCTCAAGCAATCCTCCCATCTCAGCCTCCCAAAGAGTGAGGATTACAAGTTTGAGCCACGGTGACTGGCCTTTTGTTTTTCTTAAACCCAGCCTACAAGGCTACATCTCATGGCTCCTGTAGTACTACTCACTGTGTTAATGGGACACAGGCACACAGACCTGCAGAACTGAGTTCTCAAGTTCAGAGAACATGTTGACCACCAGCCACGGGGGTTCCCTCAGCTGGAGGCCCAGAAGGGCATGAAGCCAGAGCTGTGCACACATGCAGAAGGACAAAGAGCCTCAGAGCAGGTGGGGGGAGTGGGCAGAAGCTTCCCTGAGGGGGGATCTAGCTGAGTTTCCTGGTCACCCTTCTCAGGGTGACTCCATGATAAGCGGCCCCCTGCTGCCTCCAACCTATGGATAATTGAAAATTAGGCCGGGCGTGGTGGCTCACGCCTGTAATCCCAGCACTTTGGGAGGCCGAGGCGGGCGGATCATCTGATGTCAGGAGTTTGAGACCAGCCTGGTCAACATGGTGAAACCCCGTCTCTACTAAAAAATACAAAAAAATTAGCCGGGTGTGGTGGCAGGCGCCTGTAATACCAACCACTCGGGAGGCTGAGGCATGAGAATCGCTTGAACCTGGGAGGCGGAGGTTGCAGTAAGCCGAGATCGCACCATTGCACTCCAGCCTGGGGGACAAGAGTGAGACTTCATCTCAAAAAAAGAAAAAAAGAAAATTAACCACCTCCCCTGAAGCCTAATTTCATATTCTTGGGGCAGCATAACTGACTTCCAGTCCAACGGAAATCTATTTCCTTGGAAGTTTTGTCTATTCAAATGGGCTAAGTTCAAATCTATCAGAAAAAAAAAAACAAAACAGGAGCTGTCAATAGAGTCACTGACAGGTGAAAAATTTCCAAAGGGCTCCTGAGACAAGAGGAGATGTGATTTCTACCAAAAGCCACAGGGCCACCTGGTTCCAGACCTAGTCTAGGAGGCAATAACAGATAAGGCGCTCAGTTCAGACCAAAAGCCAAGTCCCCAAGCTCCCTCTGCAATGCTCCTTCTGCAGCGCTCCTTCTGCCCTACCATGACATGATTTACAAACTGCTAGAAAGGAAGATATGCCTTCCCCAAATCCCAGACATTTCAGAACCTTCTGTAGACTCAGCTTTTACTACCAAGGTCTCTCGTATACTTTTTGTGTCAATGGCTCACAGCAAAAGGTAATTTTAATCTGACAAATGTTTATTGAGTACCTATGAGTGCCTATGTGCTTGGTGAACTGGGTGAACTCCTATGGAGACACACACACAAAAACAAATAAAATACATTCTCTGCCATCAGGCAGGCCTGATAATGGCACTGCACTTAACAATCAATTATGAAACATTTACTGCACGCCTGGCACTGTGCTGGATGCTGCAAAGGACACAAGGAAAAGAATCATGCTCAGTCGCTTCCCAAGGAGCTTACCTTATTGGAGAGAAAAGATCTTCATATACCAACCATGACGACTCATAATGAAATGTTTAGATATGTGGTGGAGGCAGTGAGTACAAAAGAATTGGAAAGGATCAGTGTAGGCTCCAAATAATCAAGGTAAACCTTATGGAGTTGGAGGTAATGGAAAAGGATCATGAGAGAAGGATGGGTGGGGACAGTGAGGATAGGACAGACGTGTGTGTGTGTGTGTGTGTGTGTGTGTGTGTGTGTGTGTGTGTGTTGTCAGGAATTATTATCTTTATCATTCAGCCTTCAAATATCTGCCCACCCTTTCAGGTACTCACTCACACATATCCTACAAAAGAAAGGGTCAACAAACATTAATGGAGAACCTGCCTCATGCCAGGAGGCATTTTGCACTTAGATCCATTACCATATGCACCCTTCCCAACCACCACCCTGCCAAGTAGACATCATGTCCCTCTTTTATAGAAGAGGACCCCAGAGTTCAAAGGGTATGTCATTTGCCCAAGACTGCTTCACCAGCAATTGGCCAAGCTGGGACTCAAACCAAGGTCTTGGCCTCCAATGCTCATATTTTTTACCATTGAATCACATGGACTCTAGGAAGAAGTGGCAGTACCCCAAGAACACAATGCTGGACCAGAATCTAAAAGGAAAAGGAGGAGGAAGGGAAATGGCATATAATGACTGTCAGGCCAGGTGCTATGGTGGGCAAGAAAGAGCAACCAGTAGACCATTCACCTTTGGAGACAGCCACTACTGCATTCCCTTGGGACATTTCCTGGAGCTGCCATCCCAACTTTGACTTCCAACCATGATGGCTGCTACTTTTGGCAAAACACCAGTCCTCTAGAGGACACAGGGCTCTCTCCTGCAGGAGCTGGAGTCCTCACTGAGGCTTATTATCCTTCATCCAGAGCAAGGCAAGCTTAGTTAGGTTTGGTGCCCAGACCTGGGCCATCTCAGAGCTATGTTATCTTCCAAAGTATGGGAGGGAAAAACCCTCACTGAATCAGAAAATACATCTTTTCAGTACTTAAATGGGTCCTGTTTTAAGCCAAAATCAGTGTAATTAAATAAGAAAATAAGACCAAGTATACCCCCCACTGTCATTAATTATGAGCAAGAGGAGACGGAAGAAACTCTGGTATAGTTTATTTAAAAGGTGCAATCCTGAAGTGAGACAAAAAAAAAAAAAGAAGAAGAAAAGAGAGAAAGAATAATTAAAATGAAGGTATCATTATTGTTTCTTTAAAGGATCTCGTTGGACAGAGGGGTCTGATTGACAGACAAGTCACATGAGGTTCTCAGAGTGACTGTTCTGAAGATGAATATGCAGGAAGCCCTGGCCTCTAGGACCTCTTGCCTACCTCCCACAGCCTTTCTAAGCAACCGGGAGAGTAGGAAAAACACCGAGGGGCAGAGTCTGCTGGACAAGGACCCTGCCCCTGGGCATGTTAATGTCAATCATAAGAAATGCTTAAGTCTCTGAAGCTCTCTTGGCATACAGGGGGTGAAGCTACTACATTTCTATTATCATCGTTATGGCTGCTATTATTAACATTTATCCAGTACCAACATTTTACTTAGCACAGCACAAAGTGTAAAGGAAGATCCAGCATCTGCTTTGAAAATAAACATCTAGGCTCCCCCACAGATTTGTGCCCCAGCAGAGGAACCAGCCTTTAGCCACTCAGGGACACTCCACAGCCCCACCTCCACCTCCATCTCCAACACTATGTCTCCATTTTCCTTGGGCTACTACGTCAGGTCTTCTGGAATCTGTTCAGCGTTCCAAGGCCCTGGCTGGGTTGCATGACCCTCTGTGGCCAAAGTCAGGGTTCAAAGAACCAGGCAGAGAGCAGAAACAGACATGAACAACCAGGACTCTGAGACAGAGCTAGAGCAGGCAGGGTGCATGGCGAAAGAAAGCACCGTGCTTTCTCACGACTCACGTGTGAGTCAAACTAAATGCTTCACTTAATGTCACCACTCTACTGCTCCAGTCGCCTTGTTTTTCTTATCACCTCATCATGCAACCTCACACTTTACGAATCCTCTCATACACTTTAAAACTCAAGACCCACACCATAGTAAATTTTATCTGTACAAGTCTTTGGAACACGAAAGCATTGACAAGTGTCCATGGCCATCTAAGAAATGTACAAATATTATATATACACATCAGTTCCTCAAGCAAAAGTCCCACTTCCCACTGCCAAATGTTATTTTTTACAGCAGCTCTGCAAGATGAGTGAAGGCGTATATTTCACCAGAGTGAGCCACTTTTTATAGAGTGGGGGAGAAAAAAGAAGCCCAAACGCTTTTATTGCTTTCTAACCAACAGGATTTCTGGATGCAAATGAATGAATCACCTCTGTGACGATTGGCTGCCTGAGTTTCCTTGTCACACTTGGAGCAGGCTCGGTGGATGTGACTTGTATCCTCATGAGTCCAAGGCAAGATAAAGGACTGACATTGCTACCAGTGAGTTATGAGATTTGTCTTTATCAGTGAAAATAAGGTCATAACGCAGCCCAGCCATCGCCTATTATATGTGGCTTCCATCTACTTTTCTGTATAATGTGATCCACTGTGCAAGGTGATTTGGAGAAGCCCAGTGAATAAATTAGTCATTTTTAAAAGCTGCGTTAAGTCTTTAAGGCCACCAGGGTAGCTTTTAATGCATTGCTGCCATTCTTCAATAGACACTGGTCTTCTTTTGACATGCATTTTGATGACAGTCTGGTGAAAAAAGTAGCTGGGAAGATTCTCCTAAGCATATTTAAAATTAAAGGCTGGACGCGGTGGCTCACACCTGTAATCCCAGCACTTTGGGAGGCGGAAGCAGGCAGATCACTTGAAGCCAGACCAGCTGGCCAACATGGTGAAACTTCATCTCGACTAAAAATACAAAAATTAGCTGGGTGCAGTGGAGCACACCTGTAATCCCAGCTACTCAGGAGGCTGAGACAGGAGAACTGATTGAACCCGGGAAGCAGAGGTTGCAGTGAGCTGAGATCACACCACTGCACTCCAGCCTGGGCGACACAGCGAGACCCTGTCTCAAAAAAAATCAAAATAAAATAAAATTAGAGAAAAAAAAGTAATATGGTGACCCACAGCTGGATCCCAGTTAGAAAGCTAACCAATCATGGGATTGAGTTCCTGGCAGCTATTTCTTAAGAGAATGCATAACAAAATCATTCATTCATCCCTCACCTGTTAATTGTGATTTAAAAAATAATAAGATCGGCTGGGCACGGTGGCTCACACCTGTAATCCCAGCACTTTGGGAGGCCTAGTTGGGCAGATCACTTGAGGTCAGGAGTTCAAGACCAGCCTGGCCAACATGGTGAAACCCCGTCTCCACTAAAAATACAAAAATTAGTTGGGCATGGTGGCGCATGCCTGTAGTTACCGCTACTTTGGAGGCTGAGGCAGGAGAATTGCTTGAACCGGGGAGGCGGAGGTTGAAATGATCTGAGATCACCCCACTGCACTCCAGCAAGGGTGACAGCGAGAGTCTGTCTCAAAAAATAATAGGAAGAAGAAGAAGAAGAGGAGGAGGACGAGAAGGAGGAAGAGGAAGAGGAAGAAGAAGAAGAAGAGGAAGAGGAAGAAGAAGAAGAAGAGGAAGAAGAAGAGGAAGAAGAAAATTCAGCATTAGCTTAGTTTATGGAGTGATTTCTCCATGTGAGGCACTGTGTGGACCTCTGAAGTCTCAGTTCTTCCAAAAGTTTGAGAGGGGTCAACATGCTTTACATTATGGGAGTTCTTTAAGAGGAGACGAATGATGAGGAAATTCATAGGTGTTTTCTGAAACACTGCACAAGTTGACACTAAATCTCATGAAAAATGATGCTTTTGATGTGCAGGATTTAAAAAGATAAAAATAAAAGATTCTGAAAGTGGTTTCTCCTCCACACAGCCTTTGGTCTGGAATTTGCACATTTGGTTTTCCTGTAGCTACTTCTGCAAAAACAAGCGCACCTACTCACTGTCACAACACAGTAGGCTAAATTTTCTCAACAAATATATTCTTTGTTCTCTTCCACAGTAACAACAAAGCTTTGAGAGTCAGCAGAGGGCAAGGGAAACACAGAAAGAACACAGACACAGGGCTTGATCTTCAAGGAGTTCAAATACGATTCACTGAATAAATAATTACTGAGCATCTACTCTCTACTCAGCTAACCGTTCTTTTCAGACACAAGCAAATTCATGGGGAAAAACAACTGAGAGCCTTTCCCCCCCCAATATACAAAGAATCTAACCCATTCATTCATTCAACATGTGTTTATTGAAAACCTAATACAGTATGTGCCAGGCATTGTTCCAAGCCCTTGGGGGAAAGTAAACAGAATAAAGTTCCTGCCCTCATGGATCTTACACCCAATGTGGGAGACAGACAATAAACAAACGCATACATAACATATGCATATCTTACACATAATATACATTTATAATGAGAAGCGCATAATAATAATATAATATAATATAATATAATATAATAATAATATAATATAATATAATTCTGGATCCCAACTGCCTCGGTTCAAACCCCACCTTTGTCAATTACTAGCTGTTGAACTTTAGAGAACTTATTTAACGTTTGATGTCTATTTTTCTTATCTGTAAAATGGGGATAATAATAATAATACCTAATCCACAGAGCTGCTGTTAAGATAGTTATGTCAGGTCAGGCGTGGTGGCTCATGCCTGTAATCCCAGCACTTTGGCAGGCTGAGGCGGGTGGGATCACTTGAGGACAGGAGTTCGAAATCAGCCTGGCCAACATGGTGAAGTCCCATCCCTACTAAAACTACAAAATTTAGCTGGGCGTGGTGGCACACACCTGTAATCCCAGCTACTTGAAAGGCTGAGGCAGGAGAATCACTTGAACCTGGAAGGTGGAGGTTGCAGTGAGCTGAGATCGCGCCATTGCACTCCAGCGTGGGCGACAGAGCAAGACTCCATCTCAAATAAAAAAGAAAAAAAAAAGATAATTATGTCAATATATGTAAAGTGTTTAGAACCAAAGCAGGCACATAGTTAGTACTATTATGTGTGTGTGTGATTAATATAAATTCTCCACTTATCAGGTAGAGATAAGGGAATGAATTAAAAATAAAGGGGCCTGGCACAGTGGCTCACGCTTATTATCCCAGGACTTTGGGAGGCTGAGGTGGGAGGATCGTTTGAGTCCAGGGACTCGAGACCAGCCTGCACAACATAGGAAGACCCCATCTCTACCAAAAAAAAAAAAACCTAACCAGGTGTGGCACTACTTGGGAGGCTGGGGTGGGAGGATTTCTTGAGGCCGGGAGGTCGAGGCTGCACTCCATGATTGTGCCACTGCACTCCAGCCTAGGGCAACAGCACAAGACCCTGTATCCAAAAAAATTAAAATAAATTTAAAAACAGAGGGACATAGAGGGGCCAGGTGTGGTGGCTCACGCCTGTAATCCCAGCACTTTGGGAGGCCAAGGTGGGCAGATCACAAGGTCAGGAGTTTGAGACCAGCCTGGCCAATATGGGGAAACCCCGTCTCTAATAAAAATACAAAAATTAGCCAGGCGTGGTGGTGCACCCCTGTAGTCCCAGCTACTCAGGAGGCTGAGGCAGGAGAATCTCTTGAACCTGGGAGGCACAAGTTGCAGTGAGCCGAGATAGCGCCACTGTACTCCAGCCTGGGCGACAGAGCAAGACTCTGTCTCAAAAAAATAAAAATAAAAATAAAAGAAGGACATAGAGATGATAGGGGGTGCTATTTAGATTGAGTGGTTAGCGAAGGCCTCTCTGAAGGAGACGACATTTGAGCAGAGGCCTGAATGAAGTGAGGGCACAAGTCATGTTAATAACCAGAGAAAAGCATTTTTGGCAAAGGGAATAACAAGTGCAAAATCGTTGAGGCAGGGTCATGCTTGGGGTGACAAGGAACAGCAAGATGCTAAAAATGGCTCAAGCAGAGGGAGGGGGAAGAATGGCAGGAAATGAAATTGATGAGGTAGCTATGGGCCTGGTTATATGAGGCCTCGCAGGCCATAAGAAGGGGTCTTGGATGTTGTTCTAAGAGGAATGAAAAGTCAGTGGAGTGTTCTGAGCAAGGGAGTGACAAAATGTATGTTTTAAAGTCTTCTGCATATGGTGGTTCCTTAAAAAATTGAAAATAGAATTACAATATAATCCAGCAATTTTACTTCTGGGTATATACCTAAGAAAATGGAAAGCTGAGTCTTGAAGAGATATGTGTATACCCATGTTCTCAACAGCATTACTCACAATAGCCAAAAGGTGGAAACCACCCAAAGTGTCAATCGACAGACGCATGAATAAACAAAATGTGCTCTATCCATACAATAGAATATTATTTATTTATTTTTATTTACTTATTTTTTTTTTTTTTTGAGACGAAGTCTCGCCCCGTTGCCCAGGCTGGAGTGCAATGGCGTGATCTCGGCTCACTGCAAGCTCCGCCTCCCGGGCTCACGCCATTCTCCTGCCTCAGCCTCCCAAGTAGCTGGGACTAGCCACCATGCCTGGCTAATTTTTTGCATTTTTAGTAGAGATGGGGTTCACCATGTTAGCCAGGATGGTCTCGATCTCCTGACCTCATGATCCACCCGCCTCGGCCTCCCGAAGTCCTGGGATTACTGGCGTGAGCCACCACAGCCGGCCTGGAATATTATTTGTCTTAAAGAGGAAGAAAACTGCTGGGCGTGGTGGCTCACACCTGTAATCCCAGCACTTTGGGAGGCAGAGGCAGGCGGATCACTTGAGGTCAGGAGTTCAAGACCAGCCTGGCCAACATGGCAAAACCCCATCTCTACTAAAAATAACAAAATATTAGCCCGGCTTAGTGGTGCGCACCTGTAGTCCTAGGTACTTGGGAGGCTGAGGCATGAGAATCACTTGAACCCGGGAGGCGGAGGTTGCAGTGAGCCAAGATCGTGCCACTGTACTCCAGCCTGGGCAATAGAGTGAGACTCTGTCTCAAAAACGAAAAACAAAAAGGAAGAAAATTCTGACACATGGGTGAACCTTGAGGACATTATGCTAAATGAAATAAGCCAGTCACAAAAAGACAAATACTGTATAATTCCACTTAAGTGAGGAATTTAAGAGTTAAGTTCATAGAAAAAGAAAGTAGAATGGTGGTTGCTGGGCCTGGAGAGAGGGGAAAATGGGGAGTTATTGTTTAACAGATACAGAGTTTCAGATTTGCAAGATGAAAAGTGTTCTGGAGATTGGTTGCACAATAATGTGAATATACTTAACAATACTGAACTATACTTAAAAATGGTTAAGGTGGCTGGGTGCAGTGGCTCATGTCTGTAATCCCAACATTTTGGGAGGCCGAGGTGGGCAGATCACCTGAGGTCAGGAGGTCGAGACCAGCCTGGCAGACGTGGCAAAACCCTGTCTCTACTAAAAATACAAAAATTAGCCAGGCGTGGTGCCACATGCCTATAATCCAGCTTACAGCTTTGGGAGGGTGAGGTTGCAGTGAGCCAAGATTATGCCACTGCACTCCAGGCTGGACCACAGAGCAAGACTCCATTTCAAAAAAAATAAAAAACAAAACCAAAAAAAAGGTTAAGGTGAAGCCAGGCACAGTGGTGCACACCTTTAGTCCCAGCTACTTGGGAGGTTGAGGCAGGAGCATCACTTGAGCCCAGGAGTTTGAGGCTATAGTGTGCTGTAATTGCACTTGTAGAGAGCCACTGCGCTCCAGCCTAGACAACACAGTAAGTCCCTGTCTCTAAGAAAAGAAAAGAAAAAAGGTTAAGATGGTGAATTTTATGTTATGAGTATTTTACCACAATTTTTTTAAATCTTCTGGAAAATAGATTGGTGACAAGTGTGGAATTAGGGAGACCCCTTAGATGTTTTAGTTATCTATTGCTATGTAAAAAACTAACCCAAAACTAAGTGTCTTAAAACAACCACCATTTTATTATCTCTTATTATTCTACAGGTCAGTAGGGCTCAGCTAGGTGGTTCTTCTGCTCCACCAGGGGACAGTAAAAAGTTATGGGGGCAGTAAAAAGTTGGGCTCAGCTGGGACTCTCTCACTCCATGCAGTCTGAGGCCTCTTCCTCTTCATGTGGTCTCTTCACTTAGAATCTCTGGCAGAGATACTAGTACCTAGACTTCATACAGGTAGCTCAGGGGTCTCAGAAGTATAAAATCCTTCTCAATACTTAGGTCAGAAACACACAGCATCACATCCTCCACATTCTACGGGCTAAAATGAGTCACAGGTGAGCTGAGATGTCCATGTTGTACAAGCAGTCCTTGAGGACTGCTTCATTGAGGACCATCTTTGTAGTCCAGCCATACAGGAGACCACTGCAGCAATCCAGGTGACAAAGAATGAAGGATTAGAGCAGGCTAATAGCAGCGAAGGTGATAAGAAATGGTTGATTTGAAATATATTTTAAAGATAGAATCTGTGAGATTTGCTGATGGGTCAGATATGAAGTAAGAGGAAAAAAGGAGTCAAGGATGAGTCTAAGTTTTGGGCCAAAGCCACTGAATGAGTGGTGGTCTCAGGCATTAATCAGGCAGCAAAGCATCACCAAAAGCTGCAGACTTGGAGCCTTGGAATTAAGTCCTTCCTCTTTTGTTTAATTACCATATTGCCCTAGTAACCCCATCTCTCTGGAGTTCTCCTTCCTGATCTGAAAGATGAGGATGATAATACCTGCTCACCCTGTCCTGTAAGGTCATCACAGGATCAGATGAAAACTTGAATGTAACTACAATTGTCTTGAGTTTGTTACACACGCAGTGGCCACAGAAAAACCACCACCTTGAAATTACAAAATCCGGTTCCAGTCCCAGGTCTGTCTTAGATTTGCTGAAGGAACTTGGGCAAGTCATTGAACCTTGCCTTGACTGTCCCTTAGCTGTAAAATCAGACAGCCCATTATATCTGTCCTGCCTATGCCAAAGAAATTTTTGTGAAAATTAATCACAAAAACATGAAACACATTTTTGAAAAGGCATAAAATGGCAAGTAAAAGGTATTATTATTGCATCGCTAATTACAGACCTAATATCTAGGCTCGGGGAAAATAAAATCCTTGGAGTCTATAAAATCCACCCATTCTCATTTGACCCAGGGGTTCCAGGCTTGGCTTGAGGAACAGCCAAGGGAGAATACCATTCGGAGGTGCTGTAAAATACAACACATAATTGCAAGTCAATCATACACATGGCATGAGGGTTGGTGAGTTATTCATCATAATGGAATACAGATAACAAGCTTATATTTGTAGCACTTTGACTCTAAGGGAAATTGTTTTGTTGCTTGATTTTTTAATGCACTGGAAAACCAAGGGGTGAAAGTAGCAGGTCATGTCACAGAAGCAAAGAAACCACAGGAACTGAGGGAATAAAGGCCCAAATAAACAGCTCTCTTCAAAAGTGAGTGTGTGGGCTAGGCACAGTGGTGCACACCTGTAATCCCAGCACTTTGGGAGGCTGAGGCGGGTGGATTGCTTGAGCCCACGAGTTTGAGACCAGCCTGGGTAACATGGTGAAACCCTGTCTCTAGAAAAAACACAAAATTAGCCGGGCGCAGTGGCTCACGCTTGTAATCCCAGCACTTTGGGAGGCTGAGGCCGGCAGATCACGAGGTCAGGAGTTTGAGACCAGCCTGGCCAACACAGTAAAACCCCATCTCTACTAAAAATACAAAAATCAGCTGGGCATGGTGGTGCACGCCTGTAATCCCAGCTACTCAGGAGGCTGAGGCAGGAGAATCGCTTAAACCCAGGAGGTGGAGGTTGCAGTGAGCCGAGATCGTGCCACCGCACTCCAGCCTGGGCGACAGAGCTAGACTTCATCTCAAAAAAAAGAAAAACAGAAAACACAAAATTTAGCCGGGCATGGTGGTGCACGCCTGTAGTCCCAGCTACTCTGGAGGCTAAGGCAGAAGTATCATTTGAGCCTGGGAGGTCGAGGCTGCAGTGACCAAGGTAGCGCCACTGTACTCCAGCCTGGGCAATAGAGTGAGACCCTGTCTCAAAACAAAACATAAAAAAATGTAAAGTGAGTGTGTGACATGTGTGGCCAGGCCAGGTTCTGGAACCCAGGGCAAGGACAGCAGGACAAGAACTTCAGCATCTCCAGTAGCCACAGACAGCTTTTGGGTTTTAAGGTCTCATCTGAAAGACACCCACACACAAAATAGCCTAGTATTCAATTTATTCTCTGTAGAAGAATAAAAGACCGAGTCAATGCTGCAAGGATGTGAACTTGGTTTTGGAGGCAGTCGGGAGCGGCCGTCTAAACACTAAACCATCCCCTTCAGGCAGGGAGCACATATATACTAAAGGACGGGGAAAGCAGTCATTCCTTTTAGAAAGAGTGCTTCTGTTTTCATTATCATTTAAGGCTGTAGTCAGTGTTGAACAATAATAAGAAGCTGGCATGGGGAAAAAAATGCACCCAAATCACAGGTGTACACAATAAAAATGCTATTATAGACTTTTGTGAATATAAATAATTTTTTAAATGAGGCTGCTAAGACTGGCATCCCAGATGCTACCTGAAAAAGAGTCATGTTTATATATTCCAGCAGTTGCACCAGTCACCAGTCTCGGATTGCTACCACAGAACGGACTGGGTCATTCTTTTGGCATGAATATCAATGCAGACTGGCTGTGGGACAAAGAAGGAAGACGCGGATCGAAGTGGAGAGAGCACAAAGGGCAGAGAAAAGGGACTTGATGCTCAAAGGGGAGAAATTGAAGAGGACAAAGGAATAGGAAGAATGAAAGGCAATAAGGACTGGCTTACTGGGAATCCTGCTAAACTATACAGCCTCAATTGTACCTAAGCATGGGCTTCACTTCCTGATTTTGTCTTTGCGTTTAGCAACAAACCCAGATGGTCAGGGTGCAAATTTCTTTGCTTTCCTCTGTTCTGGTGGAGGCACTGCAATAATAAATGAGTATTCAGCAGAAGCATAATAATGCTGGCTTTATCAGAGTTACCCCATGTACACATGAGCTCGTAGATGTCAAGGGGGCCTAGTCCTGGTCACAAAACGGGGGCACATTGGAATTCCATGTGGAGGTCAAACGTCAATGTGAGTGATGTAAAGTGGGCAAAAGGAAGGGCTTCCTGACAGCGGGGAGTGGGGAACACAGGAGGCATAGTCAGAAGAGCTGGTGGAATCCCAGAGATATGGGTCTGCCCAGAGGAGGAGATACAGGCTAGAGCAACCTCCGCATTCCCTTTTGAATTGTCCAGGTACAAAACACTTAGTCAGTCGGGCAAGGATGCTTGGTGGGTGGTATGCTGGACCTAAGAATACTGACCACCAGCTGGAGAAGGCGTGGGGAGCTTGAACATCTATCAAGTGAGTTTCAGCATCCTCAGTAGATCCTATCAGGCACTGGTGTTGAGTCCTTAGGGCATGAGTAAAGAGATGAGCACATGCAGGTGGAAACCACCAGCCGGCAGTTGAGGAAGTGGGACTGGAACTGGATCACTGCTGTCTCTAGAAAAAATACAAAATTTAGCCGGGCATGGTGGTGCATGCCTGTAGTCCCAGCTACTCTGGAGGCTGAGGCAGGAGTATCATCTGAGCCTGGGAAATGAAGGCTGCAGTGACCAAGATGGCGCCACTGGATCATCTGGATGCCCCATCAGGGCCTCTAAGCAGGACTCAAAACAGTCTGCTCTTCTTGCCCTCTCCCAAAGGACCTCTCTCCACACTTGGCTCCTTAAGCTAGTGGCACCACCATTGTCCTAGTTTCTGGCTCCAAACCTAGAGTCATCCATGCCTCATATGCTGTTGCTGCTGCTGCTGCTGCTGCTATTGCGCCCCCTCCACTCATTGCAATCTGTCTTCCGCCAAGTCCTTAGGACTTCTCTCCCCTCCATCCTTTCTTTTCAAGCCCTTCTGGCCTTCTCATGCTTAAGTCATTTCTCCTCTGCAGAAGCTTCCCCTTATTCTCTCATTCCCTTCATCCTTCCAGATCACCCTGGCATCACCTCCAGATTGATCTTCTAATACACTACTTGGATCATACCATTCCTCGGCTCAAAAGCTTTCCAGGGTTCCCCAGTGCCTACAGGACACATCCTGCCATTTGAGACTCTCCCCAGTCCTCCTGCCTGAAACTTTCTAACCTAACCCTCTGTCACAGCCAAAGCCACCTTCCATTTTCCCATTGCCACATATCTGCTGCTGTTACAATTTCTGCTCTGCCTAGACACGGTTTAGTCACCATCTCCACTGCTTGGTCTCACCCTGCCTGAAATATTTCTCTTCCCTGAATGCACAATACAGAGTCTCTACCATTCTTCTGGCAATTTGTCACTCACTACCTGTGACATCTCATCTGTTATACATAACATTGTGCTATTACTTAACGTTTTGTCTCTTTCCCCACATCCCCGTCGGGTTGGAATTTTTTTGGTCTGCAAGCACCATCCAGGTTTTAATTTTTTATGTACCCTAGCCTAGTACCCTGAACAGAGTAAGTGCTCACTAAATATTTATTAATTTAGGAGACGGGAACCTTACGAACATTCTTCACTGACTTCCAAAAGGCTTTAGCCCCCATTGAGGCAACACTCTCCATGACCCAGGGCAAGCATCCCACCTCCTCTGACCTACGGCTCAGCTCCAGTGAAAAATTCAAGAGCTTTTCTAGAAATGCCTGCCACAAGTCAAGGTAGCTTCCAGCAAGATTTCATGAAGGTCCCAGGTTTTAACCCAATAAGGTGGAGGCTAATTTTGGCTCGTGACTCATTAATCTCCACAATTGGGGTTAGGAAGACAGGCCCTGCCCTCATATTGCAAAAGCACATCCTTACCCCCCTCCCCCCGGGTACACACATGCCCCACTGTGCACAGACACAGGCCAAGGCAATATAATCATCCATGGCACAATTTTGAAACTTCGTTCCCAAATAGCCCATGGAACTGAATTTCTGATATCTGAGTGCATACACGGATGTGCATTTTCTATTACTTGTTTAGGCAGACTATAAAACATCACTACTGAGGAGTCACCAATTGATGAACAGGTCGCAGGCTTCAAGTTCATGGGTTGGCTATTTGGAACTTAGAAGTGTTTTTCCCTGAAAGCAAGAGTGCCTGGGTTTTCCAGCCAACCTACACAAACCCATTTAACCCTTAATGTACTGCATTATAATACCACAAAGTGATTTTTATTCTATTCAGGAGGGGTTTGCAAATGTGAATGCCTGAAGTGGCCAGGTGGACAATACATAAGCAAGGAGAGTCAGACCAGGAACATAGGGCATGATGGACATTGCATCTAAAAGGGGCCACCAGCCACTCCAGGCTGCTTCTAAAAGGGGCCACCAGCCACCCCAGGCTCCAGCATCGGATGGTTGCCCTGGGAGAATGCGGACCCAATGCGGCACATTGGGAGAAGCCAAAACCCGAATTTTTATGTGAAATAGTTGGCAATTAATTAGAAAAAAGTTTCAACACAGTGCAAATGAAACAAGATCTATCAGTAAGCTGAAATTGGGCCAGTCTTGCAAACTCTGCTCAATAATGTTGCTTCTGTGGAGAAAATGCATTTTAATTTCTACAACTCAACACCAGAAAAGCATTTTCCCCTCTTCTGACTCTTCCTGGGCACTATCCCCAAGGTAAGGCACTACCTTGTGTGAGAGAAGGCTAATGTCTCTGTGGTTCTAAGAACTCAAGGCCCCTCGCTGAGTTTGAGGACGTGACCTCTCCACTCCTTCCTGGTGTGTCTAGGTCATTGGTTCACAGGGTGTGTGCAAATTAGGACCTGCCTATGTTCTGCTTTTGTGGTGGTCGTGGGGATTTATTATTGCTCCGCTGTTTTTGTCTCTGTTTTCTTCTGATTATAAATGTTACATAGGTTCACTAAGAGCAAATTTGGAGATTTTTCTCTCCTAAAAGTAATCACTGGTTTTTGTTACTGTTGTTGTTGTTGTTTTTAGAGACAGAGTCTTGCTCTGTCCCCAGGCTGGAGTGCAGTAGTGCGATCTCAGCTCACTGCAACCTTTACCTCCCAGGCTCAAGCGATTCTCCTGCCTCAGCCTCCCGAGTAGCTGGGACTACAGGTGTGCACCACTAACCCCAGCTGATTTTTTGTATTTTAGTAGAGTCGGGTTTCACCATGTGACCCAGGGTGGTCTCGAACTCCTGAGCTCAGGCAATCCACCCACCTCGGCCTCCCAAAGTGCCAGGATTACAGGCATGAGCCACCGCACCCAGCTGTGAAAGTAATCACTGTTGATGATTTATTTTTTCTATCTTTCCTTTTAAAAATTTTCTCACATTACACAAGTATTGTGGGTTGAATGATGCCCCTACTTCAAATACTTGTGTCCACATCCTAATCTCCAGAATCTGTGAATAAGACTTTATTTGGAGAAAGGTCTTTGCGATACAACAAAGTTGACGATGTTGAGATGAGAAGGTCACTGGATTCTCTGGGTGGGTGAGTGCCTTTATAAAAGGGAGACACACAGACACACAGAAGAGGAAGAAGCAATGTTACCAGGGAGGTAGAGGTTTGAGTGATGTGGCCGCAAGTCTAGGAGTGCTGACAGCCCTGCAGCTGGGAGAGGCAAGGAGCAGGTTCTCATTCAGAGCCTTTGGAGGGGCACAGTCCTGCCAGATTTTGGACTTCCGGCCCCCAGAATTGTCAAAGCATTAAATTCCTGCCTTCTCAAGTTGTGGTAATTTGTTACAGCAGCCCAGGAAACCAATACAACAAGTAATACATGATAAATGTAGAATGTAATTAATTCAAACAATACAGGATTACACCAAGTAAAATGGGAGCAAGTCCCCTACATGCTACACAAATCCCATTCTATTCTGCCATGAATAGTAAGTGTTTCTAGGCCTTTTACTATGGACTTCACACAGACACACAAATGTTTATATATATTTTATGTGCTTTTTAAATAAATGAGATCATAGTATTCTGCTACTTGCTCTTTTTAAAATTCAGTATTTCTTGGGGATATTTGCATGTCTGAACATAAAGATCTGCCTTATCCTCCTCATTAACTGCAGTATATTCTATGAACATTGCCTATGTCATTGTTTTCATTAATTCTAAACTTATGAATGTAACAATATTACAATAATAAATCAAAGTTGACTTGCTTGGCTACAGTTGAAGCTATTTCTCCCCTTTTCAATCTACACATTATAATACATATCTATGTGTTCACCAAGGATTTCTGGCTCTCCACCTGCTACCATTGGAATTGGGTGTGCCCAAGTAACTTGCTTTGGCTAGTACTGTGAGCAGGTCACTTGTGTCATTTCCTATGGGAAGCTTGTGCTTAGTTTGCCTCATTCTTTTTCCCCTGCCAAGCAACTGCAGAAGCACTGAGAGGGTGCTCACCATCAGCCTAGGTCTCCTGGTGAGCTCAACAGAGCAGAGGGACATATTGCATGAGTGAGGAATAAACCTTTGTTGTTTAAAACCACAGAGACAGGGCTTTTTGCTACTGCAGTATAACCCAACCAATCACAACTGAGTATATATAACTGATATCATATGTATTTTTATATATAGAATATATATATATATATATAAAACTAAAGAAAGCTTAATACAAGTATTTTGACAGAGAAAAGTGTGGTTTATTACAGCCTGCTCAGTATTAATCAACAATATTACTTTGTTTTTTGTTTTGGTTTTGTTTGTTTGTTTTTGAGACAGGGTCTCACTCTGTCACCCAGGCTAGAGTGCAGTGGTACAGTCACTGCTCACTGCAGCCTTGGCCTCCTCAGGATCAAGCAATCCTCCCATCTCAGCCTCCCGAGTAGCTGAGACTACAGGCATGCACGACCATACCTAGCTAATTTTTTTGTATTTTGTAGAGATAGCGTTTCTTTTTTTTTTTTTCTTTATTTGAGACGGAGTTTCACTCTTGTTGCCCAGGCTGGAGTGCAATGGTGCAGTCTCAGTTCACTGCAACATCCGTTTCCCAAGTTCAAGTGATTCTCCTGCCTCAGCCTCCCAAGTAGCTGGAATTACAGGTGCCCGCCACCATGCCCGGCTAATTTTTGTATTTTTTTAGTAGAGATGGGGGTTTTCCCATGTTGCCCAGGCTGGTCTGGAACTCCTGGACTCAAGTAATCCACCCACCTCGGCCTCCCAGAGTGCTGGGATTACAGGTGTGAGCCACCACACCCGGTATCAACAATATTACTAACAATACAATTTTACTTCCTATTTAGTCATTTTTCCTTTTTACATTTTCATTAAGACGATGAACTTAGTGACAAAGGAAATGAAACACTACATTTTCAATATCACAAATATCACACTAGCCATAAATCAATAAATGCATTTGGTGAATATGCAAATTCATGGCATTGTTTTCAAGTCTAGTAAATGCCACTACCCTCGGCGTCTATTAAAAAACAATGGGTTTCAGGTTGTTTTCTATAGTTTCATGTATATTTGAAATAACAATGCTCTGTGCGCTCAAAGAACACCCCTTCTCTCTTGCTCAGATTGGCAGGTGCTTTTAGCTTCACGGAGGGGGAAGTACTGTTGTCTGATCAACAGTGATGCCTCCAGCTGATTAAAGAACATTGTCTGTAGAACTGGAAGGGGATCAAAATGCTTTCCGTTCTCCAGGACAGAAAAGATAAGGCCCTGAAGGCTTAAATGGTAAACATGACAAGAGCCTTATGGTTTCAGTGAAAGATATCTAAGATCCAAGCCCTTTCTCTTCAGGGAGGAAGAATATTTTTTAATGATATCTCTTAAAAATGTCACATTTAATAGAAAAAAAAAGTGAAAAGGAAAGCCCTCTGCATCCCCCATGCAAACACTGCAATCAGAGGAGGTTCCTGAATCACAGCTCTGACTCTGTCACAATTCCACATGGAAGATGAGCAGCAAATACCCACAGCCTCCCACTCTCCTGGGCTTGATCACAGCAGCCAGACGCACAATGAAGGAGGCCTCTGATGATGATGACATTCTATTTAAAATTCAAATCTTCACAAAACGCCAGGCTTCCCATCACCTGGTATGAAGTCTTTAAGAGAGGATCCTAAGCTGGAGGATACAGCCTCATTCCTCACAGGTAGGAAAAGGAGTGGAACGAAGAAGACTATTCTCACCCACAACACCTCCCAGCCTCACTGCCCTCTCCAAGTGGGTCTTGTTTGTAGAAATGGAAGGGGATCAAAGTGACTTCAGTTCACTGCCCTCTCCCCAAGTTGATCTTGTGATAGCAAAAGCGGCTGGGCACTGTACAAGGATTCCTGAGTGAATTC
>NT_187606.1:300000-430880 GCF_000001405.40 Homo sapiens
CAGTTCTACCTTAAACAAGTCGGAGAAATACAGACATAATCCATACTTGTTATTTGTCAAGACTAAGGTAAAATAAGGAAAGTTGGAACTCACTCATATCCTCTTATGACTGATGTACTGAAAACAATCCATCTCTCACCATTTCCTAAATAGCATAGTCACAAAGAGCTCTACCCTACCAAGTACTCTGCAAGTCCCACTCTCAAAGGAAGACTCACAGGTGACTGAGAAGATAAATTTGCTATTGTTTCCATTATCCTTCAGTTCATCTGACACCTTTGAAGAAATGCATTTGGATAAGACTCACAAGTCTCAGGGCCCCTTCTTTATGAAAGAAATAGCTAAGCCTCCATACTCAGAAGCATCAGACTTTTCAGAATGCTTAAGTCATGTAAAAACGTATCAAAATTATTATCATTACAGCTACCAGGAAATAGCTACCTACTCCATGTTAGATACTGCAGTTAAGTATCTCACACAGTTTCACTGATTCCTAACAACACTGCAAAGCATGTTACTAACCCTTAAGGAGTAGGAAGCTGAAGCTCTGAGAGGCTATGCAACTACTCAATGGAAATGTGGGGATGTGAACTCTACCTAGCTCCAAAGGGCGTACTTTTTTCTAAAATTTCTAATTTTTTTCCAATTTCACAATGGAGGCAGAGTTTTCACTACAATTTTAATAATTTCACCAGCTGGGTGGGGTGGCTCACGCCTGTAATTCCAGTACTGTGGGAGGCTGAGGTGGGAAGACGGCTTGGGTCCCGGGGAGACAACTGGGCAACAGTGAAGATTCTGACTCTAAAAAAAATAAGAATTTCACCAAAAGGGGGGACAGATTTCTAAATCGGAATCTCTTGTTAAAATCCTTAGAGCACTAGTTAAGCCCCACTTCTTTTCAAAAAATAACCGACAGATTAAAAAAAAGGTTAGAAATCCTTTTAAAGTAAATTTCATCAGAGATCTGCAAGTGAATTGTCATTTTGGACAAGTCCCCAGAGTTGGTGGCCCTCTCCTGTGTACACCAGCTACCACTAGGCAGTAAAAGTAATTTACCCAATTCAAACACATACCGTGCCTGCACTATGTTAAGACCACTGGCAAAGAGGGTACAAAGTTAAATAAGGTCTATCACAGCCCTCAAGGAGTTAAAGGACTAGAGGAGTCCATTTATAGTATAGTATGTGTGCAGTTACCATTTAGTCAAGGCAAACGAACTGTGAGAAATCCTACAACAATAGTACCTACAGTATAACATGCCATCACCGCCCACAGAAGGAAAGCAACTGGTGCCCTCGTCACGTTATGTTGTTAGTACTTGCTTACATGATGTCCCTCCCTGACAATCCCTTCCAACCTCTGTCAGCCTCCTTCCCCACAATCACACACACACACAAAACCACACTGCCAGGAAGGGAAGCCATTGAGTGAGTATTGTGAATCCTACAAGTGGCTCTGTAGTTTAAAAGGGCAATGCCTGTGCCTGAAGAAAATTTGTCTTTAGCTTCATCAGGTGAAGAAAATTGGTTTTATAACACAAGGCCCACCAAACCAGAAAAGCCCAGGAACGCTTCTCCACAGGACTCACTTAGCACGAGAAATCACTCAGAGCAAAATGACGCACACAGTATTTGTCAAATTTTTCTTTTTCATTTAGCAGAAGGTAAGGTAAAGGACTACAACTGAAGTTAATAAATGACACTCTAGCCATTTTGATCATTTGTCACTATAAATGATAGACATTTAAGCTAGTTCCATCTGGGGAAGTGAAACAGAATCATGTTCATATAATAAGCCAGACGAACCAAATTCAGTGGAATACGTGCACCCAAAACTGGACCAGACTTGTACTTAATGCAGCCTGCAAATCCCCAAGAGTCCACGACAGAATACAAGAACAGTAACACTGGTTTATCTCAACTCATCTTAGCTCCCTCACAAACTTGCCAATAATGACCTTTCAAGAACTGCACCGTTGGTCCTCATCTGGGCAATCCCGTGGCTTAGAAAAACTGAATAAAGTGCTTCTTCGAAAAATAAAACAATGCGGGGAGGGGGGAGTAGTAACAAAAAAAAAGGCACACTGGTTTTTACTGTACTGAAGCAATAAATTCTCCAACTAACTTCATTAATGAGTATCAGCAAAGAATGAACACCAAAATACCGCTCAATCCAACTTTCATCGTGAATTCTTGAATTCACAGTAGGATCATTAAATGTGACGGTATCACTCTGCTATAAAAACTATTTCCAAAACAAAACAAACCTATCTACCCCCTTTCTTGATTTAAAAAAAAAAAAAAAAAAAAGAAGGAAAATTTGAGGGTTTTTGATTTTTTCAACTTCACATACCGGTTTGCCTTTGCAAAAAAAAAAAAATTGTTTAGTCTCAAAGTATAGCTGCAAGGTGGACCGGCTGCACGGGTCCCAGAGGGCCGCTCGCCTCCGACGGTCGCAGTTTCAGCCGGGCCGCGCCCGCGAGAAACAGCGGAGAGGCCCCAGCAGGCGGGCGCCGCCGGACAGGTTTACCGTCCGCGTCGGCCCCGGGGAACCGCTCCCTCGCGCCCGCAGCACTTGTTCGCGGCGCGGACTCCACACCGCGGCCGCCCGCCCCAGGGGAGGAGTGAGTCCGCCCCAGCGGCGCCAACCCGGGGACCCGGGGCAAGGGTTCGGGGCCATCCGCCGCCGGGCGCGCCCCCCATCCGGAAAGCGGCGACGGCCCCCAAGTTGGGCTGCGGAGTGGGAGGCGCGCCGAGCCCCAAGCAGACAATGCGGGAGAAGGGTGATGCGCAGGGAGGAGGGGTCCGCAAAGCTGAGGTCCCCGCGCCGCCCGGCTACCCATCCGTGCCGCCCGCCCCTGAAGCCCCGCGCAGCCCCCGACCCTCCTCTGGGGCCCGCCCCACCGAGCGGCCGCAGGGGACGGGCCGCGCTCCGCACCCCGACCCCTCCTCAAATCACAAAACTTCCCCCAACTCCGCCAACTAAGTTGCGCTCTCACCGTGCGGCTCCCGGGGCTCCCCCGCGGGCCGAGCCGAGACAGCTCCTCACCTTCGCCGCGGAGAAAGACAATAGGCTGCCTCTCCCCCGGCGGCGGCAGCAGCGGCTGCGGCTAAAGCGGCGGCAACCGAGGCGAGCAATGGGCACGGCGGTCTCGGCCGAGCCGAGGGGCTTCACCGCTGCTGCTCCGGCTCCGCGACAGCTCTGCACGTAGCCCCAGCCACCCCGCGCACCGGCTACAAGCCGCCCGGGGGTGGCCGGGGCACGCAAGAGGGCAGTAACGTCTGCGAGTCCTCCCGTGAGTACACGCGGAGCAAGGGCTGCGAGCTGGGATTGCACGGCAGAGCTGCCCATCCCGCTCCACGAGACCAATAGTAAGGCACCTGGGCGGGGCGCTCAGGTTGCTAAGGGAGGCTGAGGTTGACCGCCGGGGCTGCTCTGTGGCAAAGTGATCACAGCAGGGTGGCTGGCAGAGACTGCTCTGGGAAATGCCCACTCACGGTCTCCTCTCCGCCCTGTTTCTAGAAACTGCCCTTTCTCTGTGTGCTCGTGGTTACCTGAGCTGTAGCATTTAACCACACATCGTGAAATGATTTACTCCTCTATTTCCCCCACTTCAACTCAGGAAGTGGGGTTTAGTCTTGTGTGTCCACAGCCTAGGACACTCTAAGGTATTAGGTATTAAATATAGGTATTAAACAAGTGTTGGATGGATGCACGGCGCTATGGCGGAATCACAATTGTGACAGTGCATTCCGTGAACTTTTGGCTACTCGATCACCACAGTCGTTCCGTGTTCAAGCTGCAAAGGACCTCAGAAATCATCGGATTGCTTTGAGAAACAAAATGTGGTCCGTGTACCAACGGCGGCCGAGGAGAATATATTAGTTGGTACACGGAGAAACTTCTTTTTTCAAATAGTTAAGTGTTTTAGTGCTCATTAGGAGGGAAATGCCTATCACGTCAAATCATTGTTTCATTAATGTTACTTCTTAGGTCAAATAAAAAGTGGCAAAAAACAAGTGTATTTCAAGAAAAGTGTTAAGTGAAACTTGAGACACTTTATATGCAGTTCAAGAATGTAAAATACTAGTTGACAGTGCTTGAAGTAAGAACAGTTGGTTAGGTAGGAGGAGAAGATTATTGGCTGGGAAGGAGGAGGAGGGAACCCTCTGTGGTGCTGATTCTGTATTTTGACCTGGGTGATGGATAACAAAAGTATGTACATCAATAAAAAATACATCCAGTGCACTTTAGATTAGTGCACTTTACACATTTTATACATGTATTTTTAATGTCAATTTTTTAAAAATCTGGTATGGAATATACCCCCACAACCCCCCCCCCCCAAAAAAAATGCAAAGATGCAAATGACTGCCATTTGGGAAACACTGATCCAGGCAGGCTCACTAGCAGTGACCAAACACCTGAGAAAGGGTATTGTGAATACCTGATGTATGTGCCAGGAACTTCCATGGTTGAATAGCTCCAAATCTCAGAAATGCTCCTAACCTCGTGTTGAGCTCTGGTGCATAGATATATTTTCTTTTCTTTCTTTCCTTTTTTTTTTTTTTTTTTTGAGGCAGAGTTTCACTCTTGTTGCCCAGGCTGGAGTGCAATGGCACGATATCAGCTCACTGCAACCTCCGCCTCCCAGGTTCAAGCGATTCTCCTGCCTCAGCTGCCCGAGTAGCTGGAATTACAGGCACATGCCACCAATTCCAGCTAATTTTTTGTATTTTTAGTAGAGACAGGGTTTCACTATGTTGGCCAGGCTGGTCTCGAACTCCTGACTTCAGGTGATCCACCCACCTCGGCCTCCCAAAGTGCTGGGATTACAGGCTTACAGGTGTGAGCCTCAGCACCCAACCCAGAATGGCTTAAAAAAAAAAAAAAAAAAAAAAGGCCAAGCATGCCCAGTTCTTCATGTGAAATTATTTCTGTATCACCTCATCATGCTGCTCACCCTCTTCCACTGTTCTCTAATCTGTCCTTGTTGATATTTAAAAGCTGGCACAAGGCCGGGCGCAGTGCTCACACCTGTAATCCCAGCACTTTGGGAGGCTGAGGAGGGTAGATCACTAGAGCCCAGGAGTTCGAGACCAGCCTGGGCTACAGGTGAAACCCCATCTGTACTAAAAGATACAAAAATTAGCCAAACGTGGTAGCCCAAATCCCAGCTACTTGGGAGACCGATGTAGAAGGATCGCTTGAGCCCAGGAGGAGAGGTTGCATGAGCCAAATCAGCAGGGCAGCTGCAGAGTGGGGTGCAAGGTCCTCAACCCAGAGGTTCCCTAGGCCCCACTTGCCCCAGCTCATGAGAGCCTGGTTCTGAGCTCTGCCAGGACTGGGGCTCAGCACTGCCCATGAAAACAGGCGTGGCAGGGAAGAAAATCATAACCAAATATTTGTAGTCACCTCTCTCCTCCCTTCTGGAAAGGGAGGTTCCCAGGTTTGTGGGCTCTTTGCCTCCTGGACATTATTGTGTAGTGAAGGGAGAAAGGTTGAGATGCAGAGTTGGAGAAACTAAGAGAGGCCGAACTGGTCCATTTGAGGAAAGATGACTGATCCCAGAAGGGGAGGAGGGGACACCCTGGGGAAGCAGGGGACTTCCCACGTGGTCCTAGAAGGGGAGGGCAGGATATAGAAAGTCAGAGCATGGTTTTGAGTTTTGGAGACAACAAGAGAAAAGAGGGAGGGATTTGGACAACTATGGAGAGGACTGGGCTGTGGAGAGAAATGTTTAGAGATTTGGAAGATGGTGTGTCATGCGATGTATTGTGAAAACCCCTTCTTCATATCCCTAAAAGACCACCGCTGATGGTGATTCATGGTACAATTGATGATTGTATCATGATATAATTCAGTGCTTTTGCAGAGGGATTGGTGCCTTTTTAAAATAATAATGATGCTTTGGCTTGGCTCCATCTGAATTAGTAGAGACAGACATCTTGAGCAGGTTTTATCAGAGTTCCATTAGCTAAATATTGGGTTTCCTATTTTGTGGCTTGCTTTAAACCGCTTTGTGGGCCCTTCCGCACTGAAAGCCACTACAGAAATCACCTCTTTGGTCTGCAGCTCCATGTCCCCAAGCTCTGGGCTTTCCTGAATGAGTGGCCTCATTCAGAAGATAATACAGCATCCCTCATCTGAAAATCCAAAATCTGAAATGCTTCAAAATCCAAAACTGTTTGAGTGCCGACATGATGTTCGAAGGCCAGATTCAAAGGAAATGCTCATTGGAGCATTTTGGATTTCAGATTTTCGAATTCCAAAATCTGAAAAAAATCCAAAATCTGAAATACTTCTGTAATTTAACCTGTAATAGACATTGGGTCCTGACCTTCCAGCTGAGGCAGCAAGCAGTCAACAGAGGCTCACCATGCATCCCTCCTGCTCCTCACCCTCCCACTGGCTTGTGCCTCACCCCCCAGCCTCCCTTGCACCTGCTGGGAAGGGGACAGGATGCTCCTGCCCTGCCTTCTTGGATCTCAGGCTACTGTGATAATTGCAGGATTCCAGCCAGGGAAAATGCTACAGGTAGAAGTACTTGGTACTCTCCATAGAGAAGTTTCCAGCAATGGCACAGCAGCCCCGGGAAGTGTGCTGCCACACCCAGCTAATTTTAAAAACTTTCTGTAGAGGTGTGAATTCACTATGCTGCCAAGGTTGGTCTTGAATTCCTGGCTTCAAGTAATCCTCCCACCTTTGCTTGCCAAAGTGCTGGGATTACGGCATGAACTAGAGCTCCCAGCCGAGAGTTTAGTTTTGTTTGCTAGTGGTGTTCTTGGTATCTTTTCATATTTGAGGCTTTGGTGCTAGTGCTGAAGTATTACACTCACCATCCGAGGTTGGCAGGACTTTTGTTTCAGTATTGAACAGATGGAACTGTTTAGTTCTTCATCTTTGCAGGTATACCAAATGTGCCTACCAGGAGTCTGCTTTATAGCCATTGAAAAGCAAGAAGTAATATAGTAAAATTTTGCCTGGCTAGAGGCTTTGGAAGACAAGTATTTTGGCTTAATTCTATTAACTTGGAAGGATGAAGGTGAAAAAAAATTCAAAACTTTAATTTCCTGTTTATTGCCATTTGAAAATATAGCCAATGATTCCACTTTTCTTCTCCAGTAAGTTTGGACATTCTGATCTACTTGGTGTTTTATTATAGAACTCCTAGTGTGCCTGAGTCTTACATTGTGAAGATCCTTCTCTAAAACTTCACATGTAAGAGAATATAAATGATATTGGATAAGATCAGGCTGGATGAGAACTGATACCTGTAAATATGCGATTTAGACGAAATCTCTGATTGTTTTCTTATTTAACTCATAAAAATAAAACTCATTGGCTGGAAGGTGGGAGCAGGAAGGAGATTTATGTCTTTTAATTGCACGTCATTGTTTCATATAGAGACAGAACATATAGTATCCCTGGTTTTGGACCTACAGAATGAAACACATTTTTCTACCTGCTGTATGCCAGAGGTTCTTGAACACCTGGAGGGATTACTGCAGCACAGATTGCTGAGCCCTACTCCAGAGTTTCTGATTCATCAGGTCCAGGGTGGGGCCTGAGAATGTGTATTTATAAGAAGTTCCCAGGTGCTGCTGGAGCTGCTAGTCCAGAGACTACATTTTTGAGAACTGCTCTCATATACTAACTGTAAATTGCAGAGCTCTAGAAAAAAAGCTTAGTTTGGTGTGGGATAAGAAGCACACAGGTTATGGAGAAAATCATGAAAGATTCAACCCTTGATCCCAGCCTAGTGTGGATTTCAGGTAACAAGCAATACACAGTGACATAACAAATTCTTGGTTTTCATGACTGCAAGTGAGAGCCAAGTATCAAGTGAGAAATTCAGCTTCATTTGCAAGGCTTAGAGAGGCCAGGTGATTCTAGAAAAATGGGCCTTGTATTTCTCTTAAACCAGTAAAGAGCTTTAAGTGGTTATTAAATTGAAAGCTTTGTGTTCTTACTTATTTTGTATTTTATTTTATTTCTTTTGAGATGGAGTCTTGCTCTGTCGCCCAGGCTGGAGTGCAGTGGCGTGAGCTTGGCTCACTGCAACCTCCATCTCCTGGGTTCCAGTGATTCTCCTGCCTCAGCCTCCCAAATAGCTGGGATTACAGGCACCCGCAACCACGCCTGGCTAGTTTTTGTATTTTTAGTAGAGACAGGGTTTCTTCATGTTGGCCAGGCTGGTCTCGAACTCCTGACCTCAGGCAATCCACCCACCTCGGCCTCCCAAAGTGATGGCATTACAGGCGTGAGCCACCGCACCCGGCCCAAAAGCTTTGTGTTTTTAAAGATATTAGACATGTTTCTTGTTTTTAAAAGAAATCTTAACAATAATGTAGGAGAATAAGACAAACATTTTTCCAAAAAAGAGAAATTGTTGTGATTATTTTGTCTTATTGGAATGTCGGATACTATAGTCGGCTTCATTAATCATCAAGCATGCTATGGATTTTCCATTTTTATAGGATCTATATCTCAGTTAAGGTAATACTGGTAATTCTTGTACTCCATTTGAAGATGAAAAATATAGGCCAAAATCACAGACTTTGCACAGAAGCTGCATAATGAAGACAGCTCTGGAGGAACACATAGATACACACACACAGACACACATATATATAAAGTATATACACATATATTTTTTAAAGTTTATTTTTTACAGTTTTAAAAGTTTTAAAGCAAAACCCAGCCCTTCCCCTCTCCCAGAGTGGGCGGCCCCTCCCCTTTCTCTGAGTGGGCGGGGACAGCGGTTGCATGGGCAGCTTTCCTTATGATGCCACAGGTCCCTCTGGACATGCTGCTGCCTGGCCACGCCTCCTTTCCCTTTCATCTTTCTCACTGACCAATGGGCTTGGAGCATTAAGGCCACGCCCCTATTCTGCGTTCCATTGGTGCCCTGGTTACGCCACCTGTGGCTCAGTTGCACAGCTGCCTGGTAGGTGACTGGAGGCATTGAGCAGTGTGCTCACTGGTATTTCGCTGATGTGGCCCCAACCCCGCCTCCCTCCCCACCCCGCGATGTCAGAAAAAACACAACAGGGGAAATTGGCCGCAGCCAAGAAAAAGGTAAAACACACCAGGTCATGGCCCCCAACCCAGCCACAGATCCCCTCCGATGACAAGACCGGTGCCAGAGTCCATACCACTCCTGAGGCATACCAGATGGGGCCCCCCAACCCCAGCCCCTCTGGGCTCCCCCAACCAAAGCCTAGTCAGTCAGCCCCACCCCTTCAGCAAGCAGCCCAGTACCTGCCCTTGCCAATCACCCCAGGGTGACTTTGGGCAGGTGACTCCTGGGGCTCCCTGCTCCATAATCAGCCCTCACCTCCTGCCACCCCAAGCCCAACCTCCCTGGGCTCTTTGGGCTTGCGTCTCCCAGGACCTGGTCCCCCAGCCCCAGGCCCTGCCCTCACCAGTCATCCCTGGGTGGCTTTGGGCTGGTGACTCCCGGGGCTACCTACTGCAGACTCTGCCCTCCCCTCCTGCTGCCCCAAGCTCGACCTCCCTAGGCTTCTTGGGCTGGCGTCTCTGAGGACCTGGGTCGAAACCGTGTGTTTCCCTCCCCCATCGTGGAGCAGCGACTCGGGCATCGCGCTGATGTGGTCCCCTCCCCTGGGAGGAGTGGAATGCAATGATGTCACAGTGCCCCTAGGAACTGTCATTACTGCTGCAAGACCGGCCTTTGATCTTACAACCCAGTCCCCTAAGTTTTCTCACCCCATTTCTGGTTCCTCTGGTTGCAGCACAAATTTCCAGCTGGAAGGGGAGTGGAGACTATGGGACCTAGGAGCAAGAGGTTTCAGGCTGCCTTACTCCCTCAACATAGACATTGACAGTGGGAAAAATCCTACACTTCCCCTGTGAGCTCAAAATGTTCACAGTATCTCTGGGTGGCAATGGGAGAATGGGTTTGGTTTGGTTTTTTCCCAGGCTTCTACTTTCCAGAGAGACTTTAACATTTTTTTCTGAGTTCTCCACGGTTCTGGGACCAGACTGCCCTTCAGTCAGTGGCCTCTGAAGTGAGATTTGCTCATCTTCTGTGGAATAGATCTTGGGAAACTGAACTTGACAGCTTGAATCTTCCTCATATCGTCTCAACCTGGGGTACTTTGAGTGCCACAGGATAAATGTGGGACATCTTTCTGAAGCATCATTTTCCCTTGATTCTCTTGAGAAAATGCATTAATGTACTTAGGGATGACAGACACATAGGTTTCCAAGCGTATACCAGACTTCGCTCTGAAATGAGGCTTGGGTTGTCCTCTTTCTGATAAATTCCCAGATTTAATAGAAAAGCTGCCTTCTGCCATGAGGACACATTGATATGAAAGTGTGAGAGGTACTGGTACGCTTCTTCACGCTAGCAGACCTGTGAGGATGTATGACTCTAAACCACACGGCCTACAGTTCCTGCCTGCTTAATGTTTACTTTTCTACCTCTGCCCCTGGTTTTGGTCCCTGGAAGCTGCTGATTCATGGCAAAACCCCAGAGCTTGGAGTCAGAGGACTGAGTTTAAGTTCCAGTATTGCCTTTTTTGATCTTTCTTTTTTTTTTTTCTATCCATGATATCAATCCCTCTCAGTCACTAAGTGATTGTGACAACACCTTGTACAGTTGTTGGTGGCATTACATCAGATGGTATATAAGGGTATTTTGTCAAAACTGTAAAGGAGGATGTGGCTGTAGGGGCTGATCATTCTCATGAGTGTTACTGCTCTTCTTTCCCACAGTTAAAAGCATATTGGCAGAGGAAGAGCCCTGGCATTCCAGCAGGAGCTAACAGGAAAAAGAAAATCAATGGCAGTAGCCCTGACACAGCCACTTCTGGTGGTTACCACTCACCTGGGGATGTGAGTCTCGGCGGGCCAGGGTCCTGGCGACAGGGGGCCCAAGGGGCAGT
Organism: Homo sapiens; assembly: GCF_000001405.40. Classification (NCBI taxonomy): domain Eukaryota; kingdom Metazoa; phylum Chordata; class Mammalia; order Primates; family Hominidae; genus Homo; species Homo sapiens. The sequence continues at coordinate 310,917 of NT_187606.1, forward strand.
AGAGGGTAATTGTTAAGATTGTAGATGGACTGTTGGGTACTGGTTAAGAATTCTGGATTTGAATCCTGCCTCTCCGTCTGCTAAGAATTGATTAGGGATTGATTAGCATATGATTTAGGGCAAGTTGCTTGAGGTCTTTGGGCCTCTCTTTTCACATCTGTATAATAGAGGTGGTATTTTTTGACTTCCATTTGTGAAGTTTAAATGAGATTCGTTATTGTTGCTTTTATGTGAATCCTTAGTACATGGCCTGCTGCAAACACCCAGGACACCGAGGAAATGGTCGTTGCTGTTTGATTTTCCTCATCCCCAGTCTCAAGGGGAAGCCAGGCCAATGAGAAGAGCCACTTGCCATCAGGCTGTCCCTTTAGGAGTCACTGAAAGGGCCCCAGGGTGGGATGGTGGGGAGATAAGAACCACGAGAGAAGTTGGCACAAAGGAGTTATGGGAAAAAGGGTCCAAGATAGGCAGAAAAGAAGCTTTTGCCAGTTGATGGGGGAAGAAAGAAGTCAGAGGGCTTAGACAGTGAGGGGGGACAGAACATCTCCATGTGCACTCTCATCTCTTGCAGTCAGCAACAGGTATCTACGGAGAAGGCCGTGCATCCTCTACTACCCTGGAGGATCTGGAGGTAAGAGGCCCTGGGCCGAGGTGCAGTGACCCTGCAGGCCAGCCCTCCAACCTCCTCCCACAGCAGGGGCTTGTTGCCCCTCTGCCAGCTGAGGCAGCCCACACACCCCCACCAGCCCTAATGATTATTCTCTCTACCCCTCCCCACAATCTTCCTCCAACTCCTTCTCTCTGCATGCACCTCAGAGCCAGTACCAAGAACTAGCAGTGGCCCTGGATTCAAGCTCCGCAATAATCAGTCAACTCACTGAAAACATCAATTCACTGGTAAGAGTCCAGTGGGGTCCCCTGATTACAGCTGGTCAATCCTGGACTCCAGTTTCCTCTTGGGGCCCTGAAGAAAGGGGCTAGGGGCCCCTGATGCCAAGGGCAAATGGGGAGCTGGGCACCCAGGTCTCACCTGGAGGGACCCCAGAGCACAGAACATGCAGCATGGCTCTTCTGCACTGCCCTCTTTGCTGACTCTCTCTTCTCCAGACACCCCTGCTCTAGTCCTTGCCACACATGCCCTGGGGTTGTCACCTCTCTGGGAAGCACTAGCCTGACTGGTTGTCAGGGGTCCATATTTCTGCCCTGCCTCAGTCCCTAATTTGCTTTTTGAGTCTGGACAAGCCATCTCTCCTCTTTATGCTCGTGTTTCTGGAGGAGGTAGAGAGTATCAAAGGTCTTGGTTAGCTCTGAAAGTCAGAGATTTAAAGGCCCCTAGAATGGAAACCTCAGGGCCAAGGGCTCCTGTCTGTCCTTTGCTGTTTTATATCTCTGCTATGAAGAACTGTACCTGGCCTGTACATGCTCAGTAAATGTTTGTTGAATGAATGCACGTTTCTAAATCACAAACTGGCAGAAGGGGGGTGGGCCCTTCTCAAACTCTGTCTCTAGAGGTTCACCAGCCCCTCCCTCCAGGGCCCTTTTCCCCCTTTGCTTTGGGCAGGTTCGCACATCTAAGGAGGAGAAGAAGCATGAGATACATCTGGTACAGAAGCTTGGGAGGAGCTTGTTCAAACTCAAAAACCAGACGGGTAAGATGGGGCTGCCATGACCTGGCAGCTGGACTGGCATTAGAGGGCTGTGGGGGTGACTTAGAATGCCCCAGGGAGGTGGGTGGATGGAAGGGCTTTGAGGCAGAGGGAAAGAGGTCTGTGCCAGGGGAGGACAAGTCTTGTCATCTCCATGAGCCTCAGTGTCCCCATCAGTAAAGAGGGAGGAGTGCCCATTGTCAGCCACCCACAGTGCTCTCTATCTGAAAGTGACTTGGAAGACTGGCTACCATCCGGGTGTGAGGAGTCATTAGCAGTGAGGCCAAGTTTGGGAAGCCTGAGAGGAGGAGCTGTGCACCGAAGGGAGGATTTTTTTTTTTTTTTTTTTGAGAATCCAGAGGCCCTTATTGTCTGCTTCCTTTCTCAGCTGAACCCCTGGCCCCAGAGCCCCCAGCAGGGCCATCTAAGGTAGAGCAGCTACAAGATGAGACCAACCACCTAAGGAAGGAGCTAGAGAGTGTGGGAAGACAGCTCCAGGCTGAGGTGGAAAACAATCAGATGTTGAGTCTCCTGAACAGGAGACAGGAGGAGAGGCTACGTGAACAGGAGGAGAGGCTACGTGAACAGGAGGAGAGGCTACGTGAACAGGAGGATAGGCTACATGAACAGGAGGAGAGGCTACGTGAACAGGAGGAGAGGCTGTGTGAACAGGAGGAGAGGCTACGTGAACATGAGGAGAGGCTGTGTGAACAGGAGGAGAGGCTATGTGAACAGGAGGAGAGGCTACGTGAACAGGAGGAGAGGCTGTGTGAACAGGAGGAGAGGCTACGTGAACAGGAGGAGAGGCTGTGTGAACAGGAGAAGCTGCCAGGGCAGGAGAGGCTGCTGGAAGAGGTGGAGAAGCTGTTAGAACAGGAGAGGCGGCAGGAGGAGCAGGAGAGGCTGCTGGAGAGGGAGAGGCTGCTGGAAGAGGTGGAGAAGCTGTTAGAACAGGAGAGGCGGCAGGAGGAGCAGGAGAGGCTGCTGGAGAGGGAGAGGCTGCTGGACGAGGTGGAGGAGCTCCTGGACGAGGTGGAGGAGCTCCTGGAGCAGGAGAGGCTTCGGTAACAGGATGAGAGGCTGTGGCAGCAGGAGACTCTGCGGGACTGGAGAGGCTGCGGGAGCTGGAGAGGATGCTGGAGCTGGGGTGGGAAGCCCTGTACGAGCAGCGGGCCGAGCCACGCAGCGGCTTCGAGGAGCTGGTGCGTTGCCCCACCTGGGGAGGCTGCCCTCTTCCCTAGCCCTCAAGGCCTTTGTTTCCCCACCTGTAAAATGGGGCATTGTAGCCTTCACATGAAATGGTACTTCTAAAGGCATCTGTGAGCCAGAGCCCTGCTCTGATGGCTGTGGGAGAGAGGGGATATTTTTCTAACCTGCCTCCACCCTTCCCGGTGCCATGGGAGGCGACACTAAGTTCTGGGGTCTCCAGTTTTAGTGGGTGGCCACTGATTGCTTCTCTCTGTCCAGAACAACGAGAACAAGAGCACACTGCAGTTGGAGCAGCAAGTAAAGGAGCTGGAGAAGTCGGGTGAGCTGAAAGAGACTGTAACCTCCGACCCATCCAAGAAGATGTGGGAGGCGGGCACCAGCCTCTGGGGAGGGGAGGTGCCAGGCCACAGGCAGCTGCAGCCTGGGGACAGGTGACCCCAGCACCCTCCGGGGCAGTCCTATGACTGTTTCTTGCTTCCTGCCCTCTGACTTTTAGAGGTGGGTAGCCCTGGGGTCCTCCCAGGTCTGGACATCATCATCCCAGCTAGAGGCATGGAGCCCCCCAATCACAGAGGAAGAGACAGTGGTATAAGAGGCTCCTTATGTCGGGTGTGGTGGCTCACGCCTGCAATCCCAGCACTTTGGGAGGCTGAGGCAGGACAATCACTTGAGGTCAGGAGTTTGAGACCAACATGGCCAACATGGTGAAAGCTCATCTCTACTAAAATTAAAAAAAATAATAATAATTAGCCGGGCCTGGTGGTGCATGCCTGTAATCCCAGCTACTCAGGAGGCTGAGACACGAGAATCACTTGTGCCCGGGAGGTGAAGGTTGCAGTGAGCTGAGATTGCACCACTGCACTGCAGCCTGGGACACAGAGTGACACTCTCTCAAAACAAAACAAAACAGAAAAACAAAAAAGACTCCTTAGATTCAAACTGGATTCCGGCCTCGGTTCCACTGGTCATAATTCAACTACTTTGCATCTCTAAGTCTCTGTTTCTTTAACTTCAAAAGGAAGTTAGCCTTTTCCTTGCAGAGGTGCTGAGGATTAAATGAGATAATACGTGGAAACATTAGGCATGTAGCACACTTAGCAGATGGTGGTTGGCTCCGCCTGCTTTTCCACCAGTCTGTGGCCTACAGTTTACATGCTGGGAAAAAGGACGTGAGATTTGATGCTAGGGAAGGAGGCATGGGGTTCTAAGCAAGGGAGACAGTCTCTTAGGCCTGGAGCAAGGGGCCAGGGGCCTGGGCAGGCCACAGAGCCCCACAGTGCCCTCGCTACCCTATTAATGGGCCAGGAATCTGGAAGCCAGCCACCACATGTCCTCATGCCCAGGGTCTTCCGGCAGGTGGAGCTGAAGAGCCAAGAGGCTCCGAGTCTGCAGCAGCAGCCAGACCAGTACCTGGAGCCCCAGTCCCACAAGGAGCTTGGATGTGCGGACAAGCAGGGTGGTGAGTAGAGCCCTCAGGCGGGGTGGGCAGGCAGGAGCAGGGGAGGCTCGCACTGTGCCCAGATTCCCACCCCCTCCCTCTCTCTGAAGATCTTAGTGAGCTGAGCCTCACTGATAGCATGGAGGCTGCACCGGGACAGGACAGGGAGGGTTCTCCCCCATGACAACCCCACTGCACAGCAGATCCAGCAGCTGCTTCCTCTAATGCAGGACTCCCCAGGAGCACCCAGGCTTGGGTGGAGAAGCTGTTGGTACAGGAGAGGCGGCAGGAGGAGCAGGAGAGGCTGCATGCCATTCTTTTCGGGCTGCCGAGAACAGGGAGCTAAACATCACCATCATCTAAGAGCGGGTCAAGGAATTAAAAAAAAACAACAAAACGTTTAAGGGGTTAATATCCTACACAATTCATTTACTTCATTTGAATGTTAGAGCCACTTATGTTTATTTGTGTTTCTAATTTAAATTTATTTGTTTCTAATTTATAGTTTAAATTTATTTGTAAAAAGTTAAATGAGAGTGGGTCTTTCTCTCATGTTCACTCTGGCATCCTTTAGCATTTTTTAAATTTGATAATTATAGGACGTTAGCATGCATATCGAGTTTGCCCTTATGTGGTGGGAGTTCAAACACACAAAGACGCACTGTATGCACACAACTGTTCTTGCTGGTTTGGGATAGGCTGCCATGCTTTTTAAATGTTAGTACAGCATGTATATTCATTACGGAATTCAGATAAAATTTCCTTATGTTCTGCTGTTATGTTTGATCGAATCCTAATCACAGTGAGCTCTTCATTAGCTCAATATGTGGTTTGCCCTCAAGTGCGCGGTCTATTACTTTGTAATATGCCACTGTGAGTACTGACATTTACAGTTGTTTAAAGGTGGAGCACTGGAAACAGCCTTTTCCCCTTTTTCTGTGTATTGGGGATGGGAGTAATAACATTTTGGGGAGCTTTTTAAATCTCCCAGAAGAGGAAAGTGGCCTGCTCTGGCAGGTGTGTGCAGGATAGAATATGTTTCATTTGTTCTGGTGCCAAGAATGAGCGCTGTACTATGGTAGTTCCCTTAGGATTTGCATGTGCTCTGGGCTCATGAAGACATTGCATCATGAGCTGTGGCAGTTGTACTTTTTTTTGATGACCTAAAAGGGGATTATTTCTGAGGAATGAAAGGCTCCCATCATGACTGTGGATGTGGAAAACCTTTTCTAGCTGAGAGCATTTATATCTACAATACATTTTAAAGTCAGAGTTCATGTTCCCTGTTTTAATCACATGACTACATGTCCCAGTACACAAAAGGGCACTGGTTGGCATTCTCCTTAATGTATTCAGTAAAGATCAGAAGAAATCCTTTAAGAGTTTAAATGTCCCTGAAACAGGCATATACAGGCTCTAGTCAAGAATGAATTCGAGTGAAGGAAAGCTGTGTTACACCTGGCATTCCTCTGTGTTCATGGAGCTTATTTGAGGCTAGAAGATGGATTTTACCATCTAGACCTCTCTGGCTAATAGCTAGTCTTCAACCATCTGACAGAGGAATTCTTTTTCTTGAATGGAAAAGGCTTTAAAAATAATAACAAACATTATTATAAACAAATATATGTGAGAGTACTTAGTTGAAACAAAAAGGAATTTTAGTAGACAGTATTATACTACATTTGAAAATCAAGGAGCAGTTTATGCAACTTAAAATGTTTACAAACTGCAGCGCAATCTACTGTTTGTGAATGTCAAAGTGTCATGAGGAAAGTGTCTATACAATCACGGAGTTATATTTCCTCACAAAGTTCTTTACGAAGAGTGAAATATGTTTTTATACCTTTTGGTTTCAGTTAGAGGCATATTTTGTGTAATATTTATGTTAATGTGCATGATCAATGAATTATTTCAGTCATATGTTGCCTATATCATAACTGGAGGATGCTTGGGGAACAATCAACAGCTAAAACTTCATGAAGTTCTAATGTCTGTGTTCCAAAATACATCATATCATTAGGATGTAGGGAGAGATGTATCTGCACTCCCTGGGGTGGGCATTTCTAGTTACTAGACCATCTCCACTTTTAGCATTGGGCATCCTCATGATACTTTTATAAATATGACATTAATAGGAGATCAATAATACGATTTTACAGATTGAATAAGAGAATTGCCTGCATTCACTTAAAGATTGCAAATATTGAGCCCTTGTGACTTCAACTGACTCTTCCAAATTGTATGAATTTATCAATGTATTAGAGAAACTCAGTTTCAGAATGATAAAGAAAAACTGTTAGACCAAGCAATGTGGCTAATTAACAGTGGTAGGATTTCCAGCCCAAGGGTTTAAAATGGACTTAAGGTCCTGTTCTTGCCTTTTATTTTCTGAACTTGCTGCTTTTGCATTCTTTGAGTTCAGTTTAAAGACAGTTCCTTTAAGTCCATTTTAAACCCTCAGGCTAGAAGTCATACCACTGTTAATTAGCCACATTATTTGATCTAACAGTTTTTCTTTATCATTCTGAAACTGGGTTTACCGAATACATTGATAAATTATTTCAAAGGTATTTTTATAGTTCAAATCACTTCACTTTTACCCTGACACGTATAAATGACTAGGAATGACCTTCGGATAGCGTTTAGCATCTGTAACCAATCTGACAATAATGTGTTCATCAGGTACCTATGGATTAAATCACATACAGGCATATTTAAGCTGAACGTCAGTCTGAAAAATAAATGTACTATATTAACTGAAATACCACTCTTCATGTAGGTATTTTGTCATATGTTTAAGAAAAAGCTAAAAAGAATGGAAATCATGTGACAATAACTTAAGTCTTCCTTCAAAGTGCATGCAGTCTTTTGCAGTACCTCATTCAGCCAAGTATTTGTTCTCTTCCTCATTCAGTATAAGGCAGCTTTCAATTTGCTTAGAAGGCAACATTAGAAGGTTAGAGTTCATCAGAAACAGAATTTTAAAATATGAGTTCAACTGAATAAATGTGAATTTCTGTAGGAAGTAAAGAATCAAAATACCTATCTAAAGATGGCAATATATAATAATTATTTTTAAAGTATTTGATTAAACCAGATAGGTTTTCTCGAAATGAAAAAAATCAGTTCTAAAACCAAAGATGATTTTTTGAAAATGTGAAAATGTAAATCAGCCCTATCCATAATATAATTTCTCTAAAACTGTATCTGTCATTTTAAAATAATATAACTATTAAAAAATGTAACTGCTATCTTATTGTTTTGAAATAAGTTAAAACATTTTAAATATGAATACTGCAGTTTAAAAGAAAGAAACCAGGGGAAGGAAAAGTAGAGAAAGAAATGCCAATTCCAGTCCAAAGCTTTATTTGCCAAGTTTTCTTAGAATGACTTTTACCTATTTATGAATTCTTACAAACAGAATGTATAATGGAAATACTGACTTTTGCCTAAAGTGGCATTGTTGACTGCTGTGATGTTACTGTAATGTAATAAATTATTAAATTGTTGCAAAGTGCTGTTTTTGCCTTAAAATTTCGTGTGTCTTGAAAACTACAGTATTAAATACTATAGCATGCAAATAATGGGCATGCTTGGCATGAGATAATCTGTTTTTATTGTTACAAAATTGTAACTATGTAAGTGTGTTTATTAAAAGAACAAACAAAGTTATGGGATGAAAGAGTTACGGGATAAAAAATGTGGAAAAGTGTGTCAAAAAAAGTAGAAAAAATTGTATGAAAAGTTATTTAAAAAGTTATGGAAAAGAAGTTATGGGATTAAAAAAAGTCACGGGATATAAATAAAAATAAATAAAAGCAGGCCCCTTCCAGCATAAGCCTGGAGAAGTGGGTCTGGACTCTCCGCCCCCACCATGTCCCTACCACCCCTTCCCAGTCAGCCCTTTACCATTAGGGTAGCAAGACCCCTGTCTAATGGGGGGAGACAGACCCTTTGCCACCTTGACCAGGGCTGAGTCCTTAAATTTCTGGACGATGATGCTTGTTATTTAAGAGCCAGAGGCTGGTGGAGTTGGTTTGTTTGGAGTAGGCCTGATGGCCTCTCTACTCTTGCCAAAGCAACTTTTCCCTCAGGGGAGCTCCCATCTTCTTATTCAGAGAGGCAGCTGAGGCAGGACAGTGGGGCTAACAGTAGACCAGGCAAGGGCATGGGCTGCTGGGGTGACCCCCCCTTCCCCAGTGTATATATTGTATCTGCGTAACATTTTGTATATTCTGGGGAGTGGGGCTGCCCCTGTATCGTACCTAGTGGAGGTTGGAGCTGGCATATAGGGAGGAGGATCTAATAATTATTTGCATCTGGGAAACGTATTTATTGCTAGCATAGGACATAGGAAGGAGGCGGGGATGGGGTCGTGGCTCCCTTGGTGATGCGACTCCTGTTTATTTTGCTTTTCATTTTGGAATAAATGGATTTAGCCATACTGCTCAGCCTGGTGTGTTCCCGTTTCCTTCACTGGGTCCTGGAGTTTGTCCCACTGAATGAGGAGCCCCAGAGTGTCTGAGCATGTCCAGCTGGGCTGTTGGGGACCTTCCAGGCCTGTTACCTGTATGCTGCCTGGTGACACCTGGTGGATTTCATGGGGACTGCCATAGCACCTATGGAGCACAGTACGGCCCTGACAGCCAACAGGCTCAGAAGCCTGATCTAGCAGTGGCCGGGAAGTCAGATACCAGCACCCAAGGGCACTGACTTCCATCCACCCCAGGCATCTTCCCTTCCGTCCCCTTGCCTCCTTCTCCTGTCTGCACTGGGTGGCCTGTTCTGTCTGTCCCTCCAGAATGCCGGCTGCCCCTCAGTCTCCCTCCAGGCTGAGATCATGACCCTGACCCCTAGTGGCCGGAGCTGGCTTCACAGGATAAAAGCCAGCTAAGCTCCAGGGACTTTCCAGGAAAAGTGTCCCTTGGAAAGGATGTGGTCTTTTCACTTGCTCCCAACAGCACCTAAACATGGCTTGGCCTTTCCCCTCCCCTGAGCTCCACAGAGAACACAGCCAGCAGAGGACACATTCTCCGTCATCCGGAAATGGGTTTGATTCTCAGCCGAGGGACAGCAGGACTGGTAGAGACTGTCAGGCCACATGGCTGCCTGCACAGCACCCCCATGCTTGGTGGAGGGTGGGAGGGATGGCGGGGGCTGGCTGTCCACAGGCTGGGCATGACAGGGAGTCTCACTGGAGGTGGCACACTTTGGAGGGGCGATGTCAGGGGACAGCTTTCTCTTGCTGGACCACAAGACTCCAAAAGGACAGCACAGGGACTTATTCTTAGTGCTAGAGGCGAGGCGGTCGGCCATGTGTAACTGCATATATATATATAGCTATTTATAGAACAGGGCAGGGGCATACCACAGAGGGGGCACAAGTTTTCAGCAACGGTCACACCTGGATGTGTCAGCTCACCACTACAACAGACTAAGTCACAGATGAAGAGGGCTGGCTTTGGGGCTGGAGAGCCACTGTCAAGTCATAGTACACCTGCTCAGGCAGGCTTGGAAAGGGAAGTCTCCAAGTAGAGGAGGGATCTGTTTAGAGGTCAAAGTGGGGCCTGGGGCTCTCAGGACGGGATGGACTTGCCTGACCCGATCAGCTGGCAAGTGGAGAGAAAGCAGAGAGAAAACAGGAGAGAGAAAAGCAAGCGGATTGCTGGTGAGGCAAGTGCAGAGCATGGGAGTGACACAGCAGCTGTGGGAGGGCTGGGGACGGGAGGGCACAGGTGCGGGTGTGTAGTAAGGTTCCTGGAAAAGGGGCTGGAAGGGAAAGGGGAGGAGGATGGAGGGGGAAGCCGGAGCTTCACAGGTAGTGCCTGGGGGCTGCAGCGGCCCTCCCCACCCCACACACGCCTCTCCCATGGCATCCAGGCAGTGCACCCACAGTTCAGACCAATGCTCAGCCCCGTCAGGCTTCCCTTTTCTCTGGTCACCCTGTCTTCCAACCCACTGGCCCAGGGCCACCCCTCGCCTTGGGGAGCCCCAAGCAACAGCCACCAGGCCTGATAGGGAAGGAACACTGCTTGAACCAGGATGATGAAGCTAAAAGGGATGGATGGTTGGAGTGAGCACTGGAGGCCCCTTTGGGCCATCAGAAAGCCCAGAACCCTCTGAGAGGACCCTGGGGGAGGCAGGGAGGGCAGGCAGCCAGATGCCACTGGCCATAGACTTATAAGTCTAAGAGGGGAGCCTCAGCTTGTTGGGGGACTGCAGGTCACATAGGTGAGGCTGGGCCCTTCCTGCAGGGAAAAGCAGAAGAGGGAGAGTCTGTGGCAGGAGAGGCGGGCAGGCTCACTGGACAGAGCTCAGCTGGGCCAGCAGGCACTGTGGTCCCCTTGGTTGAATAGCATAGGTGACCTCTAGGAGCAACAGGCCAAGGTGCATGAGCCAACTGGCTGGCAGTAGTGCTTCAGCGGGGGCCAGGGACCCTGCCTTCGGTCACACACTAGCAGCTGTGATGGTATCTGGGAGGGAGAGATGGGGTCTGTGTGTCCCTGCCTGGCCTGTGAAGTGTGTTGTGGGATGACCGTGTGTATAGGACTCTCAGGCTTTTATCCTAGATCACCACTGGATTGCTGACAGATAGAGGAAGTGGGACCCTGACTATCACCCCTAATCTGGAGTGGATTTGGCTCTCGGCACTCCCAGGCTGGGAGCTGGATACCTGCCCTGCAGCATGACTCAGACTGCACGACAGGTACGGCGTGCCCAGGATGATGTTCCCAGGCCTCTGGCTGCCTCAGAATCCAGCCCAACACACACCCCCCTCCAAGCTCCCAGCCCCCACACCATAAACCACAAGCTCTCTGCCCTCTCTGATGGCTCCAGAGAGCACCCACATCTGCCAGCTTGGGCATGGAGCCCGTTCCAAGACTCCCCAGGCTCAGTCATGGAGGCTGGGGGACTTTGGGACCGTGGGGGCCGGCCCTGGTACCTGCGTCCAGCCAGGATGCTCTGCACCTGCAGCCAAGAGTCATCCACGGGCCCCCATGGGCATGCTGATGGTGATCATGTTGATGTCGCTGATGCTGCTGAGCACCTCTGTCAGCATATGGTGCATGCACAGCATCTCATCGCCCCGCTGTACCTGCTCTGCAGACTCCTCCATCAGCGTGTTCTGGTCCCCATGCGAGTACAGGTTGGATAGCAGCTCCAAGAAGATGAATTCCTTGGTCTGAGAGTGGGCAAAGAGGCAAGGAGGGTGCAACCTGATGCCTGTGCTGCCCTGGCTGCCCTGCCGGGCCCTGCTAGGACTGTGCGCTGGGCTTGGAGCCCCAAGTACGGCTTTTCAGGCGCAGCTTCTACACCACTTAAGACTCGAAGATCTGCCTCCCCACCGCCTTTTCTCACTCAGATGGGGACACTGAGGTCCAGAGGAAAAGTCACCTGTCCAAGGTTACAGATCTGGAAGGGGACCCAGGACCTATCATGCCACCAGGACACCTGTCTACTTGGTTTTTAAAAATTTTTTGGAGATAGGATCTCACTCTGTCGCCAGGCTGGAGTACAGTGGGTGAGATCACTGCTTATTGCAGCCTCAACCTCCTGGGCTCAAAGTGATCCTCCAACATCAGCCTGTTGAGTAGCTAGGACTACAGGCATGTGCCACCACCAAGTCCAGCATTTTTAAAATTTTTATGTACAGACCAGGTCTCACTATGTTGCCCAGGCTGGTCTCAAACTCCTGTGCTCAAGCGATCCTCCTGCCTTGGCCTCCCAAAGTGCTGGGATTACAGGGATGGGCCACTGTGCCCAGTCCCATGTTATATTTCTATGGGACAGCTCTGGTCTTGACCATGCCTCCCTCCCTGGACCTGGTCCCATAGGGCTGGTCGGCATCTCTCCCAGGCCAGCATGGCCACCTCCATCCCCAGTGCCACAGTCGCCCCCTGCCCCCATGGGGCAGTGCATGAACATTGTTGATCATGAGGTGCATGATGGTCCTGGGCAGGAGACCAACCATGAGGTCCCACACTGTCTTGTTGACAATGGCTGTATAGGAGTCTACCAGGTTCTGGGTGGTCTCCTTTAAGATCTATTTGCTTAGAATAGTGTTTACTAGAGGTGAGGAAGGGGGAGGAGGTAGCCAAAGGTTGGCTAACAGATTAACAGATATAAGAGTACATGGCTGAATGTGGTGGCTCACACACTAGTGTAATCCTAGCTCTCTGGGAGGCTGAGCGGGGAGGATCACTTGAGGCCAGGAGTGCACGGCCAGCCTGGGTAACACAGGAGGTATTATGTCTACAAAAAATTTAAAAATTAGCTAGGCATGGTGGTCCATACCTGTGGTCCCGGCTACTAAAACCCAAATTGAAAGACAAAATAAATCAACCATGACTTTTCACATTTTGTGAATGTGACCAAAATGTGACCAAGGACTGACTGAATTACATAGTATTACATCAGTTACATTTCCTGATTTTGATCATTGTATTGTGGTTATATAAAATAATGTTCTTGTTCTGGAAGTAACACTGAAATATTTGGGAGTAAATGGGCACATCTCCAACTTAACTTCAAGTGGAGCAGAAAAAAAGTTGTGTGTGTCCATGGAATACTATGCAGCCATAAAAAAGGATGAGTTCATGTCCTTTGTATGGACATGGATGAAGCTAGAAACCATCATTCTGAGCAAACTGTCACAAGGACAGAAAACCAAACACCGCATGTTCTCACTCATAGGTGGGAACTGAACAATGAGAACACTTGGGACACAGGATGGGGAACATCGCACACCGGGGCCTGTCATGGGGTTGCAGGAGGGATAGCATTAGGAGATAGACCTAATATAAATGATAAGTTAACAGGTGGAGCACACCAACATGGCACATGTATACATATGTAACAAACCTGCACGTTGTGCACATGTACCCTAGAACTTAAAGTATAACAATAATTAAAAAAAAATAAATCGTTAAAATAAAGAATAAATGTAATAGACTTTCTTGAATATAAAAAGTTGTGTGTGTGTGTATATATATATATATATATATAAAGAATATATGGCCTGGTGCAGTGGCTCACACCTATAATCCCAGCACTTTGGGAGGCTGATGCAGGTGGATCACCTGAGGTCGGGAGTTCAAGACCAGCCTGACCAACATGGAGAAACCCTCTCTACTAATAATACAAAATTAGCCAGGCGTGGTGGTGCATGCCTGTAATCCCAGCTACTTGGGAGGCTGAGACAGGAGAATCACCTGAACCTGGAAGGTGGAGGTTGCAGTGAGCCAAGATCCTGCCATTGCACTCCAGCCTGGGCCACAAGAGCGAAACTCTGTCTCAAAAAAGAAAAAAAAAATTAGCTTTGTGTGGCGGTGAGCGTCTGTAATCCCAGCTACTCAGGAGGCTGAGGCAGGACAATCACTTGAACTTGGGAGATGGAGGTTGCAGTGAGCCAAGATTGTGCCACTGCACTCCAGCCTGGGTGACAGAGTGAGACTTCATCTCCCCCCCCGCAAAAAAATAAAGCCATTGAGGCAAAATGTGAACTGGTAAACCTGGGTGTTCTTTGTACTATTCTTGCAACTTCTCTGTAAGTTTGAAATTATACAAAAATTAAGTTACAAAACACATTAAAAATGTCTGCTGTATTTATCTGCTTGACAGAAATAGATATGTAAGAATCACTTTAAGGCTAGAGCTTTCCCACTTGCTGGCTGCTTTTTTTTTGGAGACAGGGTCACACTTCGTCGCCTAGATTGTAGTGCAGTGGCATGATCTCGGCTCATCGCAACCTCCACCTCCAAGGCTTAGGCAGCCCTCTGACCGCCTAAGCATGTGTAGCTGGACTACACATGCACATCACCATGCCCAGCTTATTTTCTACCTTTTTAGTAGAGAGGAGGTCTTGGTATTGCCCAGGCTGGTCTCCAACCCTCAGGCTCAAGCAATCCCTCCCACCTCAGTCTCCTGAAGTACTGGGATTACAGGTGTGAGCCACCATGCCTGCCTGTTCTCCTGGACATGCAGCCAGCTAAGCTTGGCTCTGCAACAGCTCCTTGTCCCACTGGAGAAAAAGAGCCCACAGCTTTCCTCATATGCAAGGGCATGAACCAACCAAGTGCAGCCCAGCTCCTGTGAGACACACACACACGTGGTTAACTGACAGCGACAGAGAGCCTAAATAAAGCTCAGAGTCCAGGGTAGTCTACCCAGGTTGCAGCTGGTGAGCTCTGCCTCCGGTTAGGCTGAAGCATCCCAGTATCAATCCTCCCATACACATTTATTCACATTTGTTGAGATCTCCTATGTTCTAGGCATTGGGCTCAACATTGGACACAAAGACACCATTCATCCTAACTCCCACTGAAAGAAAGTCAACCTCTGATACACGATAATCCTGTTGCTACCTTCTGAACATGGGCAAGTTGGCCCAAATTGTATGTACCCAGCAGGGGCTGAAGACCCAGGGAAGCAGGGTGGAGCTGCCAAAGCAGCTTTCCAGGCTCATACTGCAGACCACTCTCAACACGTTCAGGCTTGCCCTTGCTCCTTTACTAAACTCTGGTGAACCCACTCCCCATAAACCAGATGCAGCAGCACCTGAATCCCAGACAAGTGCCAGCTGATCTGTTGCCTCGAGAGCTCCTGCCTTTCCTCTACCCACACACAACTGCAAAGATGACACAGGCAAGGCTGTTGTCCCAGATTTATTGAAAATAATACAGCACTACAGAAAAAATTCAAACAGGTCCCCGAGGCGTTTTGAAATTCATCCCAACTGTAGGCTGAGTGACCTGAAGGTTGGACAGACTGCCGAAGTCCTGGAACGAGAAAATGGATTCAGTGAGCAGTTACTGGTGAGATCTGTGAGTGGACCCCAGAAGAAAACACAGGCCCCTAGAGCCACAGCACTCTCAAGGGGGTCCAGAGGCGACCTGAAGGACCCTTTAAGAGCCAACAGGGTTCTCAATGCCTCCCACTTTTCCAGAGTGATCTTCCTTCAACACACACCTGACCATGTGGTATCCCCATTTACAACTCTATGACTTTTACCCAATGTACCATGCCATTTGTATCTGTTTTCACAACCCCTTCCTATCAATCACTCTAAAACACCGTTTCTCAATCTTGGCAACGTAGACATCCTGGGCTGGACATTCTTTGTTATAGGCAGCTGTACTGTGTATTGCAGAAAGTTTAGCAACATCCTTGGCCTCTACCCCTTAGAAGTTAGCAGGTATCCCCTGGCTATGAGAACGAAAAATGTGTCTGGACATTGCCAAATGTCCTCTAAAGCAAAACTCTGTCCCTTTGAGAATACACAGTGCCACTTGCTTTCCAGGACCAGCCCTGGGTAAGAGCTATTACTAATCTAATCAACATTTGTGAAGGGCCCAAGTACACAAGGCATCAAGCAGAAGGGAGGGAGGCAAGAGCAGACCCTGCCCTCAAACAAGTTCAGGCTGGTAGGCAGGGCAAGAAGCCAAGGGCCCAACTTATACCTGGAACTCCATGTCCTATTTGGTCCTCAGAAACCCATTTTAGTTTCAACAAAAATGCTGCATTCAGCGCAGTGGTTATTTCAGGAAGAAAAGACCCACAGCGGGGCTGTAGCTGTACTGGTGATGTTTTTCTGAAGCTGGGAAAGTACATGTGAGTTCATTTTGCTACTACCTTTTTGAGTGTCTTAAACATTTAATGACCATAAAAATAGGAAAAATGAAGTTGTTCAAAATCACCAACCGCCCATGAAGCCCATGCTTTCACCCAAGTATGCAAAAGGACTAAGATAAGCCATAGAAAAAACATCAAAGTGCAATGAAGATACTCGTGAACTACCTAAGTAGTGCCTTGTATGTACCTGGAAATGGACCAAAGCTCATTTCTGAGTGGTTAGCATGGAGACACCAAAGGAATGCCTTCACAGAAGAAAAGCAGGCAGATTCAGCCAGGGCTGACACAAAGGGGGCAACGTAAGCCAGCTATAAAACCAAGAACAGAAGCAGCCAAGAGAGAAAAGGTGTCCTGGAAGCCACTAGATTTGGGAATCATGATCTTGTGGCGAACTAACTCAATGCACACAACTTCCGCTACACCCCTTATGAAAGCAGTCCAGTTTAGTGGCTACAAGTTTAGATGGGATTCCCAACTCTGCCACTTACTAGCTGGGTGACCTTGGATAATAAGACCTACTGATGGTTTTTGACCAGGAAAATACCACTTTAGGAATCCAGCAAACACTTACCAAAAGCTTCAGCATTTCCTTAGTGTCAGGATCTACTTCAATAATCTCCTGATCCAAGGCTGAGACCTACAAGGAAACGAGGTAGGGTCAAAATACCAATCAATGAGATTATCACTCACCTCTCCTCCTCCTCTCCCCAGGTTCTTAAATATGGGGAAGAGGAGCTGCACAAGGATAGCATTCCTCTCACAAGGTGAGCAGTCTCTTACAGTATTACAGACCCCGATGACCTGTTCTTCTGGCCTTACCTTCCCATGCCCTCATTCAGTATTCAGAACACTTGAAGTCTGTGTTTACACCAAAGAATACTATATTAGGGGCAAACAATCGAGCCACGACAGCAGTCATCAAATCAACATTAAGGGCTCTCATGAAATATGGAATAGACTTAACTGGTTCCAGAAGAGCAGAATGGAGGCTAAGAAACTGGTAGGGGGCCTATGGGCACCCACAGCTGGTTATGGAATGTATGGATTAAAGGTCTCAGATTCAGCTGAGGTCCCTTTGGAAGCCAAGAACCCATAGCTTTATCATTTGAGGATTAGCCAGAAGCCCAAATATCCAGAAAGTTTACCTCAGGAACATAATTGTCTCTCCTTTCTCTCTCCTCCTCCTGCAGCTTGATGGAGATACCTCTTACTGGGCCTCTCTGAATTCGCTTCATCAGATGCGTGACATAACTACAAAGCACACACAGCCAAAGAGAACAGTGAGAAGACAAATCAACTCCCACCTGGTACTGAGCACATGTGCATATATAAATACCCGCTTTAGTTCTTTTCCACAGTGAGAAGGAAGAGGACTCACTATCCTGGGACCTCCTACACATAGAACCTCCACTGGCCTGAGCATTCCTTCCCCTTGGTTTCTCACTCTCTATTCAAACTCTCCTTCATGATGATCAAGCGCCCCACCCCCAACTCGCCCCGCCCCGCCCCGCAGTTTCACGACCCTTCACAGCCTTCATTTTCTTCCAATTTCAAATTCACATAACTTGGCAATTAATACGTTGACTTTGGCACTATTCTTCCAGGCCATATGCCTATAAATCTCTCGAACAGTAACTGCAACTGTGAAGTAAGCATTAGAAGTTGACATCCAGCCGGGCGAGGTGGCTCACGCCTGTAATCCCAGCAATTTGGGAGGCCGAGGCGGGCGGATCGCTTGAGGTCAGGTGTTCGAGACCAGCCTGGTCAACATTGTGAAACCCTGTTGTCTACTAAAAATACAAAAATTAGCCGAGTGTGGTAGCACGTGCCTCTAATCCCAGCTACTGGGAAGGCTGAGGCATGACAATCGCTTGAACCCGGGAGACGGAGGTTGCAGTGAGCCGAGATGGCGCCACTGCACTCTAGCCTGGGCGCCAGGGCAAGATTCCGTCTCAAAAAAAAAAGAAAAAAAAGAAAGAAAAAAGTTGACAACTAAAAGCAACGTAGCTTCAAAGCAAGAGGTCTGACGGTGGCTACCTTCGACCCAGGGTCACCGCGGCCAGTCATGACACAGGCCTAAGTTCACAACAGAAATCCTGCACACGCAGAGCTCTAGCCCTTCTCCGGGACACCAGGGAGTCTCAGGCTAACGAAACCACCAAGGCACCGTCTCTTCCCGAGTCGGAGGGCGGCAGAGCACACAAACAGATCGCGGAGCCCCGGAGGCCGAGGAAGGCCCGACTCACCCTGCTATCTTGTTGCGGAGCTTTTTGCTGGGGATAATGGCGATCTCCTCGCACACGCGCTTGTTCGTGTGGAAGTCGTTGCCCAGGCGCGTGTAGTACTTTTCTATGATGACCCGGGCCGCCTTCTTCACGGTTTTGGTGCGAACGCGGCCCTGCGGGTGGAGAGGACAGGATCACTCACGAGCCAGCGCAACCTTCTGGGAAGAGTGCGGCGCCGAGCCCCGGCCGGTGTGGTTGGGGACCGCCGGCTGCGCTGAGCCGGAGAGGGCCCGGCTAAACAGTGCCGGGCGCCGGGCTTAATGCGGAAGCCGCCGGCCCGTTGCGCTCCAGCCTGACAGGGCTCTGCGCCTTCCCGGCCCAGGGCCTCTCTGTGGGCTGAGGACCGCGGGAAGCTGCAGATGGGGGACGATTGTGGAGGATGGCGGCCTCGAGCCAAAACACCTACCATGTTGGCGGGTCCTTGGTAAAAGAGGAAACAGGAAGCACAGGCGAAGCCTGTTAAAGCTTAGGCCAGAAAGCCGCTTCCGCCCGGCCACGGTCGCTCTGAGCCTACTCGGGAGCCACACAGCGCCCCCTGGCGGAGTGGAGCGGGGGCGGCGGTGGCGCGCCCTCCGGTGGGCAGGGTGTCTGTCCCGCCCCCGACGGCTCCTCCCTTTCCGCTCCCCGCTCCCCTCGGTTGACTTGGGCTCGCTTCTCTCCCCCATCTGATTTTTAATGGGACCGCCCGTGCGATGTGCTCTAGCGTAGCGTCCATCTCTTCCACACACGCCAGGGAGAGGAGAAGCATCCGGTCCTCGGGAGGACCGAGAAAAGAAGGCGATCCAGGGCCGTGGAACAATGAGGAAGTGGGGGATGGCGGCCGCCCAGGTCCCCCACTCAGTCCGCGGGCCGGAGACTTGTCAGGTAGAGACAGGGTGCGACTGGGCGAGACGTATCTCATTTCTTCCGGGCCTTTGCTCAAATGTCGCCTTATCAGAGGGCTTTCCCTTCAAACTTAGGTAAAATAACTCCCTCACTATCCCTGCTTATATTTCCTAGCACTTGCCGTGTGATTCGGCTTATTTTTCTCAACTAGGGGTGAGCTCCATGACAGTAATGGTCATTTTGTTTAGCTAATTCCCAGTGCTTGAACAGCGCCTAGCACGTAACAACCTCTAACATTGACGTGAAGGGCCCAGCTCACCAGCAGAGCTCCCAACACCTCAGGTACCTTCTCCATCCACTATCTTCAGGCTGTTCCTGCCGCACCCATCCTCAAACCAGGGCCTTCCGAAGCCACCAGCGCAGGCTGCCCCGATGGGCCGCAGCCTAGGTAGGGCCCTGCCCCCTTCTTCCAACTCTGCTCCCTGGGCTGACAGCAATCCTAGGCTCCCACCTGACAGGGGAAGGCTGAGCTGGCCAGGCTGGATGAGTTAAGCCCAGGGCTGTGCCTCATTCCTCAACGCACCTTGGGTACTCCAGTCGGACTCTCAACTGATTGGGGATGGAAACCTGAAGGACAGGAAACCCTGGCAGCAAAAAGTACCAATGGGACAAAAGAAAAGGCCAGAATCTCAGAACTGCGGGAGCAAACTTCCAGTCAAGCTGCTGTCAGGCCCGAAGTGAAAGATCAGGGTTTTTGTTTTTGTTTTTGTTTTTGAGACGGAGTCTTGCTGTCGCCCAGGCTGGAGTGCAGTGGCGCGATCTCGGCTCACTGCAACCTCTGCCTCCCAAGTTCAAGCGATTCTCCTGCCTCAGCCTCCCAAGTAGCTGGGATTACAGGCGTGCGCCACCACGCCCTGCTAATTTTTATATATATTTTTTTTTAGTAGAGATGGGGTTTTGCCATTTTGGCCAGGCTGGTCTCCAACTTCTGACCTCAGGTGATCCACCCGCCTTGTCCTCCCAAAGTGCTGGGATTACAGGAGTGAGCCATTGCACCCGGCCAGCCTTTTTTTTTTGAGATAGAGTCTTGCTCAGTTGTCCAGGCTTCAGTGAAGTGACATGGTAACAGCTCACTGCAGCCTCGATTTCCTGGGCTCACATGATCCTGCTGCCTCAGTCTCCCTAGTAGCTGGAACCACAGGCACACACCACCATGCCTTTTTTTTTTTTTGGTAGAAATGGGGTCTCCCATGTTGCTCAGGCTGGTCTCAAACCCCTGGGGCTCAAGCAATCCTCTTGCCTCAGCCTCCCACAGTGCTGATTGTAAGCGTGAGCCACTGTGCCCAGTCTGGCCTCTCCTTTATTTATTTATTTATTTAGAGACAGTCTCACTCTGTTGCCCAGGCTGGAGTGCAGTGGCATGGTCTTGGCTCACCGCAACCTCCACCTCCCGGGTTCAAGAGATTCTCCTGCCTGAGCCTCTTGGGTAGCTGGGATTAGAGGTGCCTGCAACTACCACCTGGCTAATTTTTTGTATTTTCAGTAGAGAAGGGGTTTCACTATGTTGGCCAGGCTGGTCTCAAAATCCTGACCTCGTGATCCGCCCACCTTGGCCTCCCAATGTGCTGGGATTACAGGCGTGAGCCACCGCGCCCGGCCAGGCCTCTCCTTTTGTGAGGAGACTCCCCCACCTTGCCCAATAGTTCTTGCACCTCTCTCAGAAGAGACAGCTTCAGTATGCAGGGTTCCCTCCACCTCAGACTAAATTGGAGGTTCCCAAAGAATCGGTCCAACAGCTGGGCCCAGGCCAACTCGACTGAAAAAAAAAAAAAAAAATCAGCAGACCTTGCCAGAAATCCTGTGAGCTCTGAGAAAGTTCCGTTGATAGGGCTCTCTGAACAGCAAAAACCCAATCACTCCCTCTCAGAAAGGAACTGCATCATCATAGGTGGGTCCAAGAGGATGAGCAGCCTCCGAAGAAGTAATAGGCCAAGACTTCCAGGAGAAGCTGAGAACAAGTGGCTTCTGCTGGCACGTGAGCAGCTGTGCCTCCAGCATTCTCTAAGCTGGGCCTGGAGGCTGTGAGGACCCCCGAGAAGCTAAGATATGAGGACTTTTTATATTTGGGCTAGAAGCACCCATCCACTGGAGAAGCATCTCCAAAGTATATTTGACGATGGAAGGGACCAAGAAGTACTCACAGGGCAGGTCTCCCACATGGTCCCACCATTATCCTGGGCCAGGATCTCCATCACAGAAATCCAAGGAAACAAGCTGTGGCTGTGCCATTACCCCCTTACTCCCTCCCGTTAGCCCCTTGCTCCCAGACCTCAAACACAGAGACAAAACCAGAACTCTGCTGCAACGTGTTTATTATGTGCCAAAAAAACTACACCACAGCTTACTCCACACATCTGTAGGAGAGTGCAGTCTTGCCTGCATATACTACAATGAGGTAGAGACTTCACACACAGCTTCACAAAACCCACAGAGTAGCTGGGATATGCAACAATGCAACGTCAGCTCAGCAGGAGGGAGGGGTTATGACACTGGTTCTTTGGCACACAGCTTCCCTAGGAGGGGCAAGTAGTTTTTGTGGGTTTTTTGTTTCTTTTTAAAAAAAAAAAAAAAAAAAAAAAGGAAAGAAAAAAAAGTCAAGTTTTCAAATTCCAGTGGCATTTCAGTCAACTGCAACTGTTATCTCATACATTCCTCAAATTAAAGATATAAGGGAAGGGTACTTGCCCCCTCTAAGAGAAAGGGCTCCTGTGAGCCTTCATCTGCCCCCACCGAAAAGCAGCCCTTTTTAGCTCAGTTACAAAAGAAAAAAGTCCTGTGACTTTGTGATTAAAAACTTCTATCAACCCCACCCCCCCACATAAGTGCAACTTAAGGAGGTGCAATAAACCATTTAAAACTATATACAGCAGCCGCTCAAACACCGTTTATCCGGTCCAGTTTCAAATAAAACAAAAAATTTTTTTTTTCTTGGTTGCAAATGCCTTGATTTGCAACTGTGAGAAACAGTGACCAGCAGTCCCCCAGACACAAATTTGCTATAATGTTAAAAGCTGCCAGGAAAGAAAAAATATCTTGTTCCAAACGACTTAAAAACTGTTTTAAGGAGTGTAAAAAGGAACCGGTAAAAACCCTCGAGCGTAAAATATGAAATATGATTTTGGTTTAAATGAAGAGCAAAGTCTCCTTATTGTTTACAGTAAAAAACACCAGCTGAACACTCAGTTTATGCCGTTCAGGTGGGGGTTAAATAAATGGAAAGGCACTGTATGGCAACTGCAAGAATGAAACCAATGAGACCTGCGCATCATCACCATCAGTATTGCAAGGAATGTAAAAAAGCGCTTTTAATAAATAAACCTAGGTGTAGGCATCCGTGTCAATACCTCAATACCTTCTGGACACGTAGTTTTTTTTTTTTTTTTTTTTTTCCCCGCTTTTCATCTGCAAAATGAGGAACTAAAATCTGGGAAAACTACAGAGTCGCTTGGAGGGTAAGCCAGAGGGTCCTTGCCCTTGGTACACCCCCTGAAAACAAAACCTGACAAAACTCAATGTGCATTAATTAGTGCAGAAACAAAGACAGATTCAGCAAGTGCAAAGGTGACTACAATTTTCCCTTGTCCTTGGGAAGCCAGCTCCCTGGTCGCCAGTGGCAGGGTGGTGCAGGCTGCTTGCCTGACCTGCCAGCTTTGGGCGCCACAGGCCACTGGGCAAGGCCAGCTCCTCTAGCTGGAATCTCGGTTCTTCTGGTTCCGCATCAGGGGGCTGTGGTGGCGCAGGCCCTCCATGCTGTGCCGCCAGTGCCAGCAGCTCCGGCAGAAGTATTTGAAGCAGACCTGGGTTGGGGGAACAAAAAGGAGGATGCCATGCCTGTGTCAGCACCAGACACAGGAGCTGTTGCACGAGCTGCTTGTTCTGTTTGGAGAAGGGTGGGAGACTCCCGATGGCCTCTGTGGGTTAGAAGAAATGGTCCCTAGGAATGCTCTCACCCCAACACAGAAGCCTGATTAACTATGGCAAACCCACCATCCTTGTTACAGGTCCCCTTACTTAAACATGTTGGGCTCGTAGTGTGTGCAGAGACCATGCTAGTTTCTCTTATCCCCTCTAACCATGACAGCTGCTCTCCTATTCCCCTGCCCTTCTCACCTCCTACAGAGTAGTTGTATCACATGGCTGCTAACGTGGAGAATGTATAAGGATACTGACTAAAAATTCTAATGCTAGGCAACATCCTGCTTTCTTCCCATTAAGTGAGGAGAGGTGACTGGGTTTCTCAGTCTAGTCCCATCTCTTGGTTGCTGTGTAACGTCAGGCAAGCCACTAATCTCTGAGCAATTATCTGACTATGGAGATTATCTGTGAAAGATCCAGATCCATAAAAGCCTCGTAGATGAGGCTGATCAGAGAGATACTTGGTCTCAGGCTTTAACTAACAATTCAAACTTAACTTCAAACTCTCACTTGAGAGCCTCAGTTTAACCATATTCAGAGACTCCAAATCTGATCAATGGCATCACTGCAACAAATTTTTAAACAAAATTTAAAAAGCACCCACTAAGCATGGAAGGACTGCTGCTGGTGTCCTAAGAGGTCCCAAACTTCCCCTAACACCTGTCAAAGGATGATACTGACTAGCAGCATTGACACCACTTGGATACTTGTTGGACACATGGAATCTCAGGGTCCGCCCCAAACCCACTGAATCAGAATCTAAGATCCTCAGGTGATGTGTCTGTAATTAAGGTTTGAGAAGCACTGCCAAACACATCCAGATCCACATTCCATCACCCAGGAACATTCAATAGAAAGCCACCTCGCTGCTTTCTGCCTGTCGCTGACACCTGTGGGTACAGCCCAGATGCAAATATCAAAGTCGTCCAGAAGTTCAGATGTAAAGGAGGACGAGGCATCCTCCTTTACAGAAAAATCAGCTTAGAAGGCTTCAGGGTTAGGCAGCTGAGCCTGGCTCCCACGTGCTGCTGACCACACCCAGCCAGGCTTCCATCATCTACAAAACCACCTCTCAGCAATAGTGGCATACTGCATAGCAATATCCCAGGCAAGAAAAAGACCAAAGTATAAAGACTCAATTCAACATATTTTCTTAAGAGTTCTGGATCAAGCTATCTAAAGTATGTCTGTCCCGGTCTGACCTTCAGCAAACATTACTGCTGCCTCCTCTATGCTCTCAGACACCACAGGGTACCTCAGAACTCCAACATTCAATGTCATGAACTTGGCATAACAATTTTTTTTTTTTGACACGGAGTCTCGCTCTGTCCCAGGCTGAAGTGCAGTGGCGTGATCTCGACTCACTGCAACCTCCGCCTCCTGGGTTCAAGCTATTCGCCTGCCTCAGCCTCCCAAGTAGCTGGGATTACAGGCGCCTGCCACCACGCCAGGCTAATTGTTGTATTTTTAATAGAGACGGGGTTTCACCATGTTGGCCAGGCTGGTCCTCCTGATCCGCCCACCTTGGCATCCCAAAGTGCTGGGATTACAGGTGTGAACCACCGCGCCCAGCCAACAATTTTTAATAGAGGGCAGGGACTTCATAGACATCGGACCCACCTGATCTCGACAGAAGAAAGGACCAGGCTGAGAACTGCAGATATGACACAGAGAATCTTCTAGGTAGGGGTCAATCTGAACCTGCACAAAGGCAAAATAAGATGATGAAGTGGCTCTTCTTACCAGGAGGCTCGATAGGCGATAGAAGAAGGGCACATTATTGGCCACACACAGGAATGCGGGATATTGGAATGCAGGATATTTGCCTGTTTTAAAGGAGGCTTGGAGAGAATTATGGGCCTGAAGTACAGAAAGGAGTTCTAGAGGACAGACTCATACACCATGCACAGTCAGGCTGGATGCCTCTGGGATTCAGGCAACCACACACCTTAATGCCTGGTCTTCTAGGCAAACTGTACCTCAGCCCTCTATCAATTAGCAGTATAGGCAAGTGTTCGGAGGATTCCCAAAAGGTTGGAAAATAGGAAGTCAGGCTACTGAGCAATGCCAAAGAAATACCACAGTGAGGGAAGGCACCCTACACACTGAAGAGGCTCAACAGTCCCAGTTCCCTTCCTCCTGGGCGTACAAAGACCAAGCCCACTCCCAAACCCTAACCTCAATGTTAATTCTCAGGAATTTGGCTCACTTCCCTAAACACACCCAGCACAAACAGCTTCAGGTCTCAGGCCTGCCCTGGGTAGTAACTGCCCAAACCCCTCTCATATACCCCAGAGTAAGGGCATAAACCAGCCAACTCACCTTCTTTGTGAACTTGGTGGTTTTGATCTCCACAAAAGCAGCGCTGACTGCTTTCAGGTAACTCCGTTGGTTATTGAAAGTCACACGACCAGAACCTAGGACAACAGACACAAGCTTCCCTTCTAACCAAATTCTCCCAAATGCTACTTTTTTTTTTTTTTTTTTTTTTTTTGAGATGGAGTCTCGCTCTTTCGCCCAGGCTGGTGTGCAGTGGCGCAATCTCTGCTCACTGCAAGCTCTGCCTCCCGGTTTCACGCCATTCTCCTGCCTCAGCCTCCCGAGTAGCTGGGACTACAGGCATCTGCCACCACACCCAGCTAATTTTTTGTATTTTTAGTAGAGATCGGGTTTCACCATTAGCCAGCATGGTCTTGATCTCCTGACCTTGTGACCCGCCCGCCTCAGCCTCCCAAAGTGCTGGGATTACAGGCGTGAGCCACCGAGCCTGCCCTAATGCTACTCTTTTAAAATGCAGGAAACCCTTTACGATACTAGTGCTGTCCGACAGAAATATAATGTGAGCTACTATGTAACTTTATTTATTTTTTGAGACAGGGTCTCCCTCTGTCACTCAGGCTGGAGTGTAATGGCGTGATCTCAGCTCACTGCAACCTCTGCATCCCAGGCTCAAACAATCTCCTGCCTCAGCCTCCCAAGTAGCTGGGACTACAAGCATGAGCCACCATGCCTGGCTAATTTTTGTATTTTTTTGTAGAGACAGGGTTTCACCATATTGTCCAGGCTGGTCTTGAACTCCTGGACTCAAACGATCTGCCCCACCTCGGCCTCCCAAAGTGCCAGGATTATAGGTATAAGCCATCATGGTCAGCCCTTATGTAACTTTAAATTTTCTAGTAGTCACACTGAAATTTTAAAACAGTGGTGACATTAATTTTAATAATATATTTTATTGGCCGGGCACGGTGGCTCACACCTGTAAACCCAGTGCTTTGGGAGGCCAAGGTGGGCGGATCATGAGGTCAAGAGATGGAGACCATCCTGGCTAACATGGTGAAACCCCGTCTCTACTAAAAATACAAAAATTAGCTGAGCGTGGTGGCGCACACCTGTAGTCCCAGCTACTCAGGAGGCTGAGGCAGGAGAATCACTTGAACCCAGGAGGCAGAGGTTGCAGTGAGCTGAGATAGCACCACTGCACTCCAGCACGGCAACAGAGTGAGACTCCATCTCAAAAAAAAAATTTTATTTAACCCTATATGTTAATAATATTATTTCCAAATGTGACAACAGCTGTGTTTCCAAAACTCAATGGGGCCACATTTAGCTGGTAGCTACCATATTCGTACCATATTTGACAGTGGAGATCATGTTAGCGTGAACCATTCAGGAATGGGGGAAGAATTTGCAGATCAAGATGGGAAGGAAAGATAAGGGACTCCTTCAGTGCAGGTAGAGCATAGGTTAAGGTTAAAGGATTCAGAGTGGAAGCCAAGATGCAGATAGAACACTTGTCTGAAGGGTAAGCCCAGCAGTTGAACTGAACCTCTCCTAGCCCTTAGGCACTCTGGAGACCTATTAAGAGAGCTGGAAGAAGCCCCATCCTGCCAAGTTCCTCCTCCGCTCCTGGGGCTTCTGAAGTCCCTGTTCTCAATCTGCTGCACAGTATTGGTGAGTACATGGTGCTCCTTCCTGACCAGATTCAGTGTGGGTGTGAAGACTAAGCATTTGGGGAGGTGGGTTAGCCACATGTTAATCACAGAGGTCAGGCTCTGCTCCACCTCCATACCTCATCATTGACATTTTGCCAGGACTGGCGAATTGACCTCCTTTCTCAGAGGAGCTGATCAAAACCTAGTGGTTAGGCCCACAGACTTCTGAGTTAGGAAAGCACAGGCCACACTCTGTTGCCTGACTCACTCAGAAAGTCCTCCTCCAGCCTGACCTGGTCTCTGACCTTAGACAATGCCAGAGCTTTTCAAGAACTTTTAATAAAAAACTCCAGGCAAGTTCAGAGAATTGCAGCCTTTTCATGAAATAGTACCTGTTGTCTGTTCCAAACTGGTTTCGCTGTGAACTCTGAGCTTCCAACAAAGTTCCTACCTCACTCTCACTTCTTATCACCTCCTGTAGTCTCCAATAGCTTTTTCTCCCACTGCGTGGGAGATGGTGGGTAGAGGGCTAGATACAGAAGGGCCAGTACTCGTGACTTGTCTAGAAAAAGATATTATGGTGCTGGTATATGCTGATCTGCAGACCTGGGTCAGGCCTCTCTCCTCACTCCCATGGGGAAGTATCACAATCTTGGTCTACTCCCAGGGGCCAACCAAGCTTTCGCACACAGAAGTGGGACACTTACCAATGGGATACTTGTGCTTATCTGTGTCAATCCCGGCATACACCACTCCACCAAATAGGTCGTTCAAGATGGCTGCCAGGGCCTCAGCATTTAGCATTCCATGCAGAGCACCGACAAACACCGTCCTGCTGGGGTCAAGCCTCTGAGATGGGCTCCGGACAAAGTTACTGTCGGCTAATACCCAGGGGATCACCTGCACCTGAAAACCACCCAAAGGTGTATCAGCCCTGGCAGAGAGCCACAGAGAGAGAGGTGCTTGCACGGCAAGGTACGTGCTCTGGAGATACTGAAGCTAAGCTAACGCCCTTACAGGGGTGAAAAGGTGCTGTTGCCCAATCTCAGGCACACAGGCGTCCAATAAACCACCCTGACTCCACCCCAACTGGAGTTGAATTTTACTGAGTCCATGTGTCCAGAATGGTAGAAGTGGACACAGTACTCACTCATGCTGGAGAGTAAGCAAAAAAGTACCACATGGCCAAACCCAGGAGCCCAGCATTCTATTTCAACCTCCAACTGTGTAGTTCCAACAAAGGGCTGTGGACACTGATGAAAAGGGCATAATCTGAAGTCCTCAAGAAAGGAAGGACTCACAGAGAAATTAAAGGCTAGGATCCTGAAGGACAGAGGGGTGGGAGTGCTTACGATATTTGTATGAGATGGTTACTGGCCCAACCTAGCCTTCAGAGGGTTTGTGCCAGAGCAGTGGAAATGACTGGCGAGAGGTTGGGTAGAAAGTCACATACAAGATCCCTGGAGTCTTAAAGGGCTGGGGCTGACCATGTCCTTTGCCTCTGAATCTCCTGAACCTGGAACAAAACCTTGTAGAGCAGGTGGAGGAGTCCAGAATGAAGTGAAGATCTAAAAATATGTCTTGAAGCAGGAAGAGATCTGAGGCAGAAACCAGCAAGGAGGCAAAAACAGTAGTTTCAAAGGACAGGTGATTAAGACTTGGACAAGGCTGGTGGCAACGAGCAGAGAACAGGCCAAGACCAAAGAGATTCTTCAACAGAAGAGTCTGCAGTACTCAGACAGCATAAGCAGGATGGGCAAGCAAGGAAGAATCAGGCCTGGTAGGTGCTGGGCCTACACGGTCTTGGGATGAGAGGACCTGGCAGAAGTTACAAGAGGGGAGCCAATTTCACTGGAAGATGAAAAAGCCAATTTTGCCCACAAAAGAGTTTGGGATTACAGGACATCCCGAAGAAGGATCCCACAGGAAGGTGAGGCTCAGGTAGGACATGAGGCTAGAAAGGTGAATCTGGGTCTAAAGGTGAGAGAAGCCACAAAGTGAGTCATTTATCTGAACTAGAAAAGAAGAAGGGAGTCAAAGATTGGCTATATTGGCTATGTTGGTGCTGGCGGGGAGAGGAACACAAAGGAAAAAGAAAAGTAGAGAGGAAGGAGAACTGCATCAGCCTATAGCCAGTGAATCAAAGAAAGATTAAATCCCTGTAAGGTGATGGGAGGGAATGGGAGACAGGATGGTGTCTACAGGGGCACTGAGGAGGAAGGGGAAGGGCTCTGTGATATGCATATGGCCATCTCTGGTTGTGAAAGCAGGAGGGGAGGAAAAAGGAGCATGTTAATTAAGTCCTAGAACATACTAAGGTGGGAAGACTACACAAGCTCCAGAGAATAAAGAAGCAGAGAAGGTAGGGAAGCTGTGGGTCACTGTGGGCAGCCAGAGGATGAGCCTGCCCTCTCTCTAACACAGAACAAGAGCCAGCTTTGTTACATGGATTTATTTTAAATCTAATGTGACCATCCCAATAAAATAGGCATTTCTCCTCTTACCCTATAGATTTTTTTAGAGAAGCTTTAAGGTTTACAGTAAATCTGAGCAGAAAGTACAGGGATTCTCCAAATACTCTCTGCCCCCACACTTGCGTGACTTCCCCACTATCAGGATCCCGCATGAGAGTGGAACATTTTTTTATACTGACCCATCATCCCCACCGAAAGTCCATGGTTTGCATCAGAGTTCAATCCTGGTGTTTCTTTTACCTTCTATGGGTTTGGACCAAAGTATAATGACATGTATCCACCATATACAGAATAGTTTCACTGCCCTAAAAATCCTCTGTGCTATGTCTCTTCATCCCTTCCTGCTAAACCCCTGGCAACCACTGATCTTTTTTACTAAAATAGGCATTTTAGTTTCCCATCTTATAGAAGAGAAGAGGAAACAAAGTTTCAGAGATATTAAATATCTAGTCCAATGTCACAAAAGTTGTGTGCTCTCAAATCCGATTTTACCACCGCACTGATTCCTGAGCTCAAAACTTGCTTTGACAAGTGGTTCTCAAACACTACCCACTAGAACCACCTGGGGATCTTTATTCAGTTGGAGATTCCTAAATTCCACCCAGAGTGATTCAGTAAGTCTGGGATAAGGCCCAAGAATGTGCAATGAGATCCCCAGGTGAGATAAACTCGTTAGAGACCCATGCTGCCAAGGATACATAAGGCTGATATTAGAAAAAGCGTAGGAAGAGAGAATCTTATGGGGAAAACCCACAAAACTAAATAAAGCCCTGAATAAGAATGAAGAAGTGACCCACAGGTGGGTGTGGGCTAAAGAGGAATTCACCCCCACAGACTGGGAGGTCACAAGGCACAGGAAGGGCAGGACCAGGGAAAAACAGCTGTAGGTTTATCAGTTAAGTCCAAGTAGAGAAGTTTGCTGTTCTCAATTTCATTTCTAAGACAAGAGGTTTGAAACCAAAGTGTTGGCTACAAGAAAGAAGAGCAGAATAAAGACGGGCAGACAGTTTGATTACCATGGGCAGGCATGCGCATGTGTGCATGCACACACCCCATTAAGTCCCAAAGGTTGCTTTTTTTTTTTTTTAATGTAATTGAGAGGATACTGCTATTTTATTGTGGGACAAGAAGAGCCTTCTTGCCTCAGCAGGAATACTCCTTGCCTGCAGCCTGCCTATCCACCTACCACAAGAAAATCCAGTGCCTCAATATTCCAAGACCCTCGATCCAGAAAGGACATCACGCTAACTCACCTCCTTGCAGCGCATCCTTCGGCTGGACATCTTGAAATAATATTCACTCAGGCCATCTGGGCTCAGCGGGTCATGAGAGCAAGCCTGAAGCAAGGATCGGACAGACTTCTCTAGTTCGAAGACCAGATACACATACCCTATTCCCAATGAGAGGAAAAATCGCATTAATATCCCTTAGGTGGCCACTCCTCAGCCTTGGCTTTGCAGCAGGGCGTTTCTTCCAAGAAAGAAGGTCTTGTGTATAAGATACATTTTTGTTTTACTCCTGAAAAGTCGTGTTGAGTGGAAGCATTTGCTATGCAGATGCCCTGGGTTGTGGGCCTCCCTCCCACCCTGGTGAAGGAAAGGACTGGCAAGCTGAGACAGAGGATCCCACCATTACCACAGCTCTCTATGCAAGAACACAGAGCATGTTCAGGTCAGCAGAGCCAGGCTTTCCTGGTGGCAGGAAAGATGGCAGGTATTGCTTTAAACACCTACTTAAACCATTAGTTCAGTTCAATGAAGATGGGGCAGGGTGAAAATAGCACCTGCTCCTTTCTACAGGGAAGGGATCTCATTTCAGACCAGTGAGGAATCAGATGCTTGGTCCTCATTCCTGCCAACTCCAAAGGGACTTCAGAATTAGGTCAGGCAACAACGTAACTGGGCAGGACAGGCAGGCAAGGGAAAGCTTTTCAAACGCCTTATTTTGAGAGGAAAGGTGCTGCTTGGGTTCAGGTTTAGAGAGAAGTGTACAAGGAAGGGGTTTCAGAGGCAACTCCCACTGCTGTGTAAGTCTGGACAGATGGAACATTAGCTCAGAAGAAACAGAGGGACATGTTAGGTTGAAGAGAAAGTGCTGACAGATGGCAGGTCTGTGCCCTGGAGTGCCCACCATGTTACCAACATGCAGCTGTGACATCCCAGCACCCCTAGGTGCAGTTATGTACTAGGGAAGGGAAAAAAAAGCTCCTACCATGTCTTTATTACCTTTAGGCATATTACCTTTGGGAGGACACCGGGGATGCTTGCCATCCTTACCAGGCCACTCCACACTCAAAGAGCCAAAAACACGGAAGGTGTTAACTAATCCAGCTGCAAAGAGACAGAAAAGAATGGCAGAAGCTGAGGAACCATCTTTCCCAGTAAAGACACAAACACAGAATCACCAGCATTCTCCTCCCTGGCTCATCCCCACTGACAAACAACTCAGAAACGAATGCTGATCTCCGGTGTAAGCTCCCGACATAAGGAGCACTATGGGGGTCTATGAAATGCACCTCTCCCCTCAGACACTCATGTAATACCCTGAGCTCAGGCAGGGCATTCAGCCCCTGGCCTCAATTCCAAGTTTCATGCTCCTGAAAGACATGCCCCACCCTTCAACTCTTAAAGCAGGTCTTAGAGACAGCTCACCTTCTGTAATATCCCAAGGAACACCTCCTAGAAACACCTTGCAAGAGTAGATGGGGTTCTTATAGTTCCGGGGAGGAAGCTGGCCACTCCAGGTACAGGTGGCTTCATTCACAGCTTTGGTAGATGGCAAAGAGATAAACAGGGGAGGTTAGAGAATCAACAAAGCCACACTCTTCCCTGGGGTGAACTTGTCCAGTAAGAACCTGACTGGCCACAATCCTTGCCCAGATGCCTGAGAGAATATCCATGATTATTCTGAAAAGCAAGAAATCTATGTCTCACCAATCCACTCAGTCAAGTATGATAATCCTACTTTGCTAATTCTGTCCCCACTAAAATTGAAAGGAATACCAAACCAGATGTGTAGGGTAAAAATTTACACCCCATGTTATTTTCAAACATTCAACTAATATGCTAACCACAAAGCAGTTTTATCCTGTTATTGCTTACAGTACTAATTCATAATTACTTGAAAATAAACATAGCAATACAACATCTTGCAGGCTTACTGGTACAAATGGGCCTTCTCCCCAATGTTCAAATGAGAAACATTCTATTCTGTTTCCTTGTCTTGGCTCTGAACTCATGAATCACAGAAGTTAGGACACTGCCAATAAAAACCAGCACTGGCAACCCAGTAAGACAAGAATGTCACAACTGTTCCAAGCCAGACTCATCTTTATAGCACCCAAATAGACAATGGGCCTTCCTTGATGCCAGCATGGTAACGTAATGAATCAGTCTTCAATCCTGTCCCCACTGTTTGTACCTTTCCAAATCAGAGACTGACCTTAGTGAGGACTAGCTAGTTCTTGCCCATTTATTTCACCCTCCTCTTTCAGCAAAGAGGCAGACAGCCAATGAAAGGAACTATCATTTTCATTCAGGACAAAGATGTGGAAGGATATTTCCTAAAAGGAATAGGCCCAACGTGTTGCTACAGCAAGAAACTGGGCAATGTCAGCAATCTTTTACGACAAAAACAGAATATAATGGTCTCATCCAAAAGCATGGTAATGTCATTTCACAGGAAAACAATGGCACCAGAGAAAGTACAAAGATGGGTTGCCAAAATCATTAGGTGAACAGGGCACAGCACTATCAGAGGAGAATGAGATCCAGCCCAACTCTGTGAGCAAACAGACACACTGAAGCCTATGGAAACAAATGGAATGCAGAAACTAACACTAACTTAGTCATCAAATTCAGGACCTCTGAAGAGCCAGTGGTTAATGAATATCTCCCTGAAGCAGTACTAGACAAAGATGAAAAACACATTTAATACATATTTAGGATAATTTATTTTTTAAACCTTTTAAAATATATAGAGATGGGGTCTTGCTATGTTTCCCAGGCTGGGCAACTCCTCGGCTCAAGCCATCCTGCTGCCTCTGCTTAAGTGCTGAGCCACCCAGGCCAGCCTAAGATTAAATTTAAATGTCAGAACCTTAAGGATTCCTAAGAGACCAGGACATCTGGTGACACTCCTCACTTTAGAGGTTGACAAATGGACCCCTCCTTCCCCAGTGCATCCCTGACTATACCAATCAGAAAGCCTCAGGGAAGAAAGCTCCAGCATGAGTTGTGTCTGATGGTCTTT
The DNA here is from genome assembly GCF_000001405.40 of Homo sapiens. Lineage (NCBI taxonomy): Eukaryota > Metazoa > Chordata > Mammalia > Primates > Hominidae > Homo > Homo sapiens. The sequence goes on from NT_187606.1 coordinate 344,583, forward strand.
GAATTAGAATGTGGAGAGGGTAGACAAAATTCTGGATATCCCTTCCAGAGTTTCTCTTGAGGACATCCACCCGTGGAAAAAGTAAAAGCAAGAGCAGCACACAGCCAGTCTCCACGGAACGGCACAAGTGAGAGATGGAGCCAGCTCCTTGTGCTGTGGCACATGCATGTGCCAGATAACCTGCCTCTTTCCTCTCCACTCAGCCTCAAGAAGTTCCTGAGTCTGTTCCCATTAGTATTTACTCCACAGAAAGATAATTCTTTGCAGATCTGGAGACTTCACCATGCAACCAAGCCTCCTCTAGACAGTTCACAAGTGTGTGAACTAAGGTCACTTCCTCTCTGCTCCCAAAATGAGGCCTCAGGCCTCACACATGCTCAAGGCACACTCACCTGCAGCTTGTCGGTGCAGCCTGGCCTCTCTCTCTATGCTGAAGGGGTCTTTGGGAGCTTCGAGGAGGTCCCAGGACGGCCACACAGAAGCTCCTGGCCATCTCTTTGAAGCACTGGTTGGGGAGGGAGTGACTGCAGCAAGAGCAGCTTGCTCTTGGTCCATCCGAGACCCTACCCCCATCTTTAAAGGGTCTCTGGGACCACCCCCTGACAGAGACAGGAAGGGCAGAGGTGGAGAAATGCGAAGGCTTGACTAGGGGAGGAAAAAGGAAGACAGGGTTTTAAAGGCTAGTTTTGTTATAAAGTAATAATCACATTATAGAAATTATTAAAAACATCCAATAGACATTTAGCATTTGATATATATTCTTTTAGACTTTCTTCCTGAGCAATTTTGATTAGTTCTAGTTATACTATAATTTAAACAAATGCTCCTTCTCTCCTCATTCAACTTTTCCATATTGCCAGTCTTTATAACCATTTAAAATGCATTTATCATATTCTATTTAGGGAACAAGGTACATCTCACTGACCCATACTCTTCCTGTTATATATATACTTTCCAAGTTTTCAGAACCATAAATAAAAATTAAGATGTAGCTTCTTCATATTTTGTGTTTTCTTTGGTCAGATTCCTAGAAAGCCGAATGCCAAAAATGCTATCTATGAGAGCTCTGCATTGTATCATAAATGTATCAGAACACCATAAGCTGTGTCAAACCTTTAAATTCTAATTTACGTGTGTGAAATGATACATTATCAAAATAACTCGTTGACAGAATATTTTAAAATCCCCAAATATTAATCAGTCATGAGATAAATTTCCAAGACTGAGTCCAATCTAAGTAATATAGACAGAACTACCAGCACTGTATCTGACCCCATTTTACAGAAGAGGTAACTGCAGCCCAGAGAAGCAAAGAGACCCGCATGTGACTGCCCTTTTAGAAATGCAGCCTTAACAGATAAAACCAATGGTCAGTGAGAACACCATCGCCAACTTCCATATTCTAGGACAGGCTGACAGGCGATCACAACCAAAGTTGCCAGTCCTGGGTATGGGGAAGAGAAGAAGGTGGTAAAATAAGTAATTCTATTCACTGCACATTCAGCTCGGGAGATTTGGCAACAAAAATGCTTATAAGGCATCTGAAACTGTATTCTTATTTTGGGGTAATTTCTCACTGCCAATCCCACCTGTATTTACTTCTACTATCCCCTATCTATATTATCTGTACTAATCTATCTATAATATCCCCTACCTATTCTAATTCATTTGCCAACTCCACTTAGCATGAAGACCACACGCATCATACATGGCTGTAGATAAGGAACGTGAAATGCAAAAATTAACTGAGGCAATGTTTCATAGATTCATCATGGCATGAATTGAAAGCTGACACGGGTCAGTGGAAAAAATACAGGAGCTACAGTCAGATCTGGATTAAAATCCTATCTCTGCTAATTACTACTTAAAAATTTTTTACGTTATTACTTAATTGTGAGATATCATACATCAAAGTACATAAATGACACTGTTTAAGGGCTAAAGAAAGCACCCCGTGTAGGTAAAGAAACAGAACACTGCCAGGGCCCTCACGTTTACTTTTGAAATTAAGTGTTTTCCAGTACTCTTGGAGTAGCTAGTAAAATGAGAGTCCTGAGCTCAGGTCCTGCAATGTATTGCTCAATGGGTCTTCAAAGCATCCTCTATCCTGTTAAGGATGAGAACTCTACAAATGTCCACAATAATCTCCACTCCTCCCCTCATCCCATCTCCCAGCCTGCATTCCAGGGGACAGGCATCCCATAGATATTGTACCCTCCTTCCCCTTGGACACACACAGGCAACTCCACCCACAACTCCCCTTTCCCAAATGAGTTACATACAATCAAATCTGAGAGATGATCTGATCCAGAGCTGAAGCCACTGGTGTCTGAGTCAGAGGGGCTGCTAGATCGAGAGTCCAGGATGGGCCGGGTGTCCAGGCGTGATCCTCTAACTGAGGGTGCTGGAAACTTGTCCACCAAGTCAGACCCAAGGGGATCCAGAGGCAGGAAGCTCAAGGGGGGTTTTCCTAGGACATTTCCCAGTGGGTTATGGAGCATGCTCAGTACTAGGAGGACAAAAAAGGAAACCTCATGACCTCTTAGTTTTCTTTGCAGCCAACAGCCTCTTTCTTCTCCTACAGCCACCCAACAAGAGATACCAAAGGCAAGACAACTAAAAGCATGCCAGCAAAACACAATATAATGAACAGATATATATCCAGCTCTGAGACCTGGCCGCAAGGGCCTTGTTAGAGGAAGTTACAAGCTGACTGAAGACCAGAGTTCCTGCTGTTACAATAGCAGCAAAACTGCTGGGTTATACTACCCAGGCTTAAAAGGTCAATGCCAGTACTTGGGAAACTGTCACTGGGGTCCCTGGTCACAGCTGCTATTAATGCCTGGATACACCTACAGCACAGTTAGAAATCCCAAACCATACTTCATCTTTACTGCCTGACGATTTGTTTATTAGAAGAATTCTCACCTTTCTAATGCTATAATATAGAATTTCAGGCCACACCCCAGAAATCTGGTATAGCATAAGCATACCACCTCATGTGAGAGGTTCACTTATGCAAACTTCTAGCATATACAGATTCTCTTCAATGTACCCCTGAACTTGAAATGTTTAGGATGGAAGCAGAATGACATGGTTAAGCCCATTCTTTGACTTAAACTTAGGATTAAACCCTGTGTCTGACACCTCTTGTATATGTCTGTGAGCTCTGGGAAGCTCACTTAGCTTCTCTGACCCTCTGTTTTCTCACTGGCATTTAGGGTGGAGTATCAACTATTTCATGACATTGTTAGGACAGCTCAATAATTAGATACCAGATGGAAAGAGCTCAGCACAGTAGCACCCAGCACACAATAAATATTTAAATATGAAACAAAAAAAGAGCAACGTTTTCCACACTTGGCCTTGGGGAACCTAAGCAAAGCACACCCTCTATCTATGAGAATAAGGAATAAGAGGGCTTTGCCATGGAGCTATGGGTGTGCTAAATCTAGGAAAGAAGCCTTAATTTGAAGTTTTTTTTTTTTTTCATCTGAAGAATGAGAACATTCACCTCAAAATGGCTGAGGTAAAACCAAAATCATATGTGTAAGTGCTGAATAACTGGCTGTGATTGGCCCCACTTCCGCCCTGACTAGCAATGAAATGAAACACAGGTCACCCAGAGCTGGTTTCCTCCCAGGCCTCTAAGTCAGTTTGAATGCTTGTCTGGAGCTGGAGTCCCAAGAAGCAGGAATAAACCTCTCAAGACTGAAATCAAAATCAATGCATGCTTTCAGGGTACGAGACACACATGCCATTGATGGAACATATACACAAGATCCCAAACATCTGTTAATATGGGACCAGACCAGCCCACGCTCCTTTAGGTATATGACCTCCCCTTTTGGATAAGACATGGTAGGTGTATCCTTAACATTTAACACAGGGGAAACTGTAGATATATCTATTTATCTAGTTATTATTTTGTAGTAAAAATAGCTTTAATTTTTAAAGAGACTGTCATAATACTGTTTTCCAAGTAGATGGAACTATATACCATTTTACATTCCCACCGGCAGTGATGAGAGTTTCAGTCCCTCTACAACCTGGCCAACACCTGGTTTGGTCAATCTTTTTATATCTAGCCAGTCTAATATGTATGTATGTTGTGGGATGTGGGTGGGGTGGAGCCACAGCACATCCAGCAAGGAGTTAGTTTAGCATTTTGTTTTTCAAGGAAACATTCCTAACTTTGAAATTGCCTTTTGAAGCAGTTTTCAAAGCTCTAAAATTTAACTGTATGCTAAAACTAAGTGTCTCAAAATGCTTGGATTGATAACCATCAGAAATAATCCCTGACAAACTTCTCAAATAATCCTTTGGTCGGGTGTGGTGGCTCACGCCTGTAATCCCAGCACTTTGGGAGGTTGAGACAGGTAGATCACCTGAGGTCAGGAGTTTGAAACCAGCCTGCCTAACATGGCGAAACCCCGTCTCTACTGAAAATACAAAAATTAGCCAGGCGTGAAAGTGCACGCCTGTAATCCCAGCTACTCGGGAAGCTGAGGCACAAGAATTGCTTGAACCCAGGAGGCAGAGGTTGCAGTGAGCCGAGATTGCGCCACTACACTCCAGCCTGGGTGATAGAGCAAGACTCTGAAAAAAAAAAGTTCCTTGACAAACTCCTGCCTGATAGAAATCCAAAATCAAAGCCTGTAGAGTCCATGCCCTGAGAAGGCAGAATATGTGAAGATTTTATTCAAGGTTCCACCCTAATGCTGCAAAGCCTGGCAAAGAGGCACTGTGAAAAATCAACAGATCACATGCACTGGTCTTAAAAGTGGTACCAATGCCCTGGAGGGCCTCATCCTTTTCCACATTTCACAAAAACAAGTTAGGGTGATGAACAGTGAGGTAACAATTCAAATCACAAAGAACTCTGACAACTAGGTTAAATAGTTTTTATCTTATTGTCATTTGTTTTTTTTTTTTTTTTTGAGACAGGGCCTAGTTCTGTTGCCCAGGCTGGAGTGCAGTGGCTCACTTCAACCTCAATCTTCCTGGGCTCAAGCGATCTTCCCACCTCAGCCTCTAGAACAGCTGGGACTACAGGCATGTGATATCTACCACATCTGGCTGATTTAAAAAAAATTTTTAGTAGAGGTAGCATCTATGTTGCCCAGGCTGGTCTCGAACTCCTGAGCTCAAGCAATCCTCTTACCTCAGCCTCACAAACTCCTAGGATTACAGGCATGAGCCACTGCACCCAGCTTGATTTTATCTTAAGGGTAACTGAGAGACACGGAAAAGGAGATCTGCAGAGCTGTTGTGTGGATAGCAAAGAAGGCTGACCAGGGAAACTAAGGAAAAGCACCAGTAGGAACCAGTGTCCAGCAAAGAGGAAAACTAAGTTGGACTTAAAGGATTTTCTCCAGCAGAGCTCAGATACCTGGATGGACACTGAAGCCATACAGAGCTATGATTTTGTTCCCCCAAGGGGGTATGAAGGAATAAATGTGACAACAGAATTGATGATAACAGCAACAAAGGAAATGAAGAATGGGTCGTGCATTATAGGCTAAAGACAGAACAAAGTCAATAGATTAGGAGCAAATAAATGGAAAACCAGTGATTTCAATAGGCTGATAGCTATAAGAGGAATGAGGGTGGCAGACAATATAAACACGAAGAGGTGGGACACTGAAGATTAAGAGCTCTGAGGATGGCAAGGTCCAGAGTATGGTAGAGGTGGCTGACTTAGAATGTGAGAAGTCTGAAATATTAGATAAGTCATTCATGTGGACACTAAAAAGACCGATGGTGATAACTGGGCCTGGAGTTAAACAATGAGATTTTCAGAGACCTGGGACAATGAGTAGGCTCTACTTGGCATAGCAGCATCTTAAAGGAAAAGTCTTCAGCTAAAGCAGAAAATGGGGGGAGCATTCACCAGTAAAAAAAAGAAAGCCAGTTTGTTAACCCTGGAAAAGGGGAGTTTCAAGTGGCACAGCAGAGAGCTCTGAGAGTTGTCAAGGGAGAAACAGCATAAAGCAGAACGCCAGAAAAAATACTCAAGAGGGGATGCTGCCCCAAAGGCTTGTATCTGAAAACACCAAAGATGGCAAGTATGGGCTCTGGTAACTGTCCTCACCCAAGGTTTTTTTTAAAAGGTATTTTGGAAAGAGTCAAAAAAGCAACATGGTAAGCACTACAGACCCCTTTCCTCATTCACATCATTTGTATTCACTATTGTGTTGGTACACCTGTTTTACCAGCCACAAACCCATCTACCTCTGCTAACTTGAAAGTTCTCTACTGTGCCTACAAAGGTATCTTGAGGCTTTGTCAAATTCCTGTACAAAGCTAGGAATTATCTCTGTAGTGATCCTCTAATCTGGCAATAAACCTAAGTAGAAAATGGCATGAAAACCCACGCTGGTCACTAACGAACTCTACTTCGTTAAGTGCTCACAGTTCATGGTCATTCATCTGTTCCGCAATCTGGACCAGGTTCAGTTAAGCTTCTAACAACTTACTGAACGTCTAGCACATGTCAAACACTGTGTTAGAAGCACTTTAGGTAAACAGTCTTCACCAAATCCTAAGAAGTGGCTGTTACTACTGCATCTTAACAAAAGGAAACCAAGACTTGGGGCAGTCAGTTTGTAAAAGTAACAGCTAATGAGTGACAGAGACTGGATGCTTTCCCACTCCAAGTACCATTCACTAGCTACTTTTTTTTTTTTTTTTAATCTTTAGGACTTCACATCTGTTTGTCTTCACATTCCTCAGCACTTTTCCTTTGTCTGAATCCTGTAAGACCATCAACTACAGACTACTGATCTTCCCTACCAGAAGTCCCTGCTTTAGGACCTAGAGTATTTGGGTCTTAAATCTATCTAGGGCCTTGCCACTACAGGAACTCATTAAAAATGCATTTTGGGTCCCACCCCAGACCTGAATCAGAATCTGCATTTTTAAAAGATCCCCAGGAGATGTGTATACACATTAAGTTTTAGAAGCACTGATCCATACAAACCCGAGGCTTGCTACTTCAAATTCCTAATCAATTGCCTTATCATACCCAAACATCTTTCATATATAATTATTTCCTCTGACTTAAAGACTGGAGGTTATGGCCAAGTGCAGTGGTTCACGCCTGTAATACCAGTACCTTGGGGGACTGAGGCAGGAGGACTGCTTGAGACCAGGAGTTCAAGACCACCCTGGACAACATAGTAAGGCCTGTCTCTAAAAAAAATAAATCAGCCAGGCATTATGGCATGCACTGATAGTCCCAGTTACTCAGGAGGCTGAGGCAGGAGGATCACTTGAGCCTAAGAGGTTGAGGCTGCAGTGGGCCATGATCGTGCCACTGCACTCCAGACTGGGCAACAGGGCAAAATCCTGTCTCAAAAAAAAAAAAAAGACTGGAGGTTATAATTTAAATACAGTTCTCACACTAAAATGGTAAATACTTAAGAGAAAAAAAAGGCATCAGATAAAGAAATCAACAAGGCTATATAGGACATTTACTTAAGAGTTCCTTCTCTCTGAAAACACTGGGTGGGAGTGGAGGACAACACAGAGAGGCAAGACAGACACAGTAACCATGAACAAATAAGAATATAAAAAAAGAATGGTAAGGATTATCATAGTTTCAGGAAAAGTGATGGCTAGAACAAGCTGATCACTGTGAAAAACATTCAAGACAACCCAAGGGACTTTGTAAGCTCACACGGAGCAAAACCAAAAGGAGCAAGGGCCTACTTAGAGCAGAAAGAGAAAAATGTTATTAAGGATTTAAGGACATTACTGGGTCACTTGACAAAACTGGAATATGAATGACAGTTTAATCAAAGTAGTGTTATCAACTTTAAATTGACTAAAGTTAACTGTTTTGTTACATATGAATGTATGTAAGATCATCTCTATTCTTTTTTTTTTTTTTTTTTTTTTTTGAGCAAGGGTCTCCCTCTGTAACCCAGGCTAGAGCGCAGGTGCACAATTACAGCTCACTGCAGTCTCAACCTCCCACTTCAGCCTCCAAAGTAGCTAGCGGCATGCCACCATGTCTGACTAATTTTTTTTTTTTTTTTTTGGTAGAGGCAGGATCTCACTCTGTTGCCCAGGCTGGTCTTGAACTCCTGGGCTCAAGCAATCCTCCTGCCTCAGCCTCCCAAAGTACTCAGGTCACAGGTGTGAGCCTCCGTGCCTGGGCCAATTATCTCTCCTCTTAATGATTCAGAAAACAATTATGTATTGATACATGGAGAGAGAATGTGCAAATGATAAAGCAAATGGGGTAAAATGAACACGAACAATAGGAGGTTCTGGATAAAAAGGATTACAAATATTCTTTGTATAATTTTATTTGTATAACTTCTATAAATTTGAAATTATTTCCATTTTTTTTTAATGACAGGAAGAAAAACAAGTCAATTCCCATTTGGCTTTCTTTGCCTCTTTCAAGGTAACTTATCTAATCAGCAGAGGGAAATCAAGCACAAGTAATAGGAACTAGGATCCCAGAGGATAAGACAGTAATTGAGTACTTTTGGAGTCTCTATTAGAAGAAATAATCTTTTAAACATGCTTTTTAAAGTCTCAAAAAAATCTGCATAGATATTTGCAGGCCCACATGTGTAAAAAGTTGTGCCTTCTCAACCAAGCATACCAAGACCAATCTTTACCATCCTACTCCAATAGCAATTAGCTCAACATCTGGCAAAAAGCAGGTGAACAATGACTGCTGAATTCTACTGAAAGACAGAGAGTACGTATTCCATAGAGCCAGTACGCTAAGGCCCTACCCTTTTCTATCAAGGATATTCAATTTAAGGACACAATGGTTTTTTTTGTTTTTTTGTTTTGTTTTTTTTTGAGACGGAGTCTCGCTCTGTTGCCCAGGCTGGAGTGCGGTGGCGTGATCTCAGCTCACTGCAAGCTCTGCCTCCCGGGTTCACGCCATTCTCCTGCCTCAGCCTCCCGAGTAGCTGGGACTACAGGCACCTGCCACCACACCCGGCTAATTTTGTGTGTGTGTGTGTTTTTAGCAGAGATGGGGTTTCACCGTGTTAGCCAGGATGGTCTTGATCTCCTGACCTTGTGATCCACCCGCCTCAGCCTCCCAAAGGGCTGGAATTACAGGCGTGAGCCACTGCGCCCAGCCTAAGGACACAATGTTGACTTAGAGTGTAATACAGATTTAGGGGAATAAACCTTAACTCATCCCTACCCAGCCCATCGCCAAAACAGAGGTTTAAAAACCAGTGACTCACCGCATCACATCTGCGACAATACTTCTTCCCTGAGTCTCAATTTCTTCAAAGAGAAAAAGGTTGAAGAAAGCTCCTCTGCTTGAGGAGGGGCAGGGTGGAAATCACTCTGTCCTAATCAACCCTCCCCAGACTCTACTGGGATCTTCAGGGCCACTGCAATACACTCCTACATTCAAGTACAGGAGCAAGAAAGAGTGTCTCACTGAATTATATACCAACCACATAGAAAAACGGGGAAAGGACTTGGATTGATGGCTCAGAAAGGGGCAATGCCATCCTAGAGAATAGGATCAGGGTGCCCCAGAATTAACACGTGGGATGTCAGCATCTCCATGCATCAGTTTCCTGCAAATATTAAATCAGAAGGGATATACTGTAAATTTGACTAGAAGATACCAAGAAGACAAGAGGCCTAGAACTTGCCAGCTGGTTTGATATTTCCTTCAACCCACAGAACAAGTGAATTTTGTGGAAACTGCCACCCATGGTCAGATGCCCTAGAGTGACCTAATTGTACCTCTATAGGGTCTGGCCAGGCAGTTCTCTGAGTGTCTACAGATCAAAGGAAGGAAAGCAGCAAAGACAATGGAAAGAAAGCAGCAAAGCAGCAAAGACAAAGGGAAGTGGGGGGACCTCATTTCAAGAAAGAAAACCTGTCTTGCTCCCAGCTCATGAGACCATACCTGCCCTATGTAAGGTTGCTGAGTACGCAGCACCGATTTCCACCAGCTGGGAATCAGAAGGAAAGGAGCAAAATAGCTAGCGTTAGACTGTTCCCATTTATATTCAAAGCCACGAGCATACCTAACTGGAAAGGCATTCTCTTTAAGCCACACAAACTAAAATCCAGTGGAAATGACAGGTCCCTTATAATGCAGGCCAGTGTCTCATCTCAAAGTCCACTCCCCATCATGGGGCACACAACTTCATAATTCCAAATGTCAAGTATTAACCTAGATGGATTAGAGGAGGGGGAGGGGTGGTGAGAAGTCCTAGAGTCAATCTCCAATAACGGCCAAGGCCCTGACCTCTTTGCTCTGTTCTTTCCTGGCCTCCAGAACACAAGGGATCATGGAAAGTCTGAGGTTTACCAAGTGCCTCCAGCTCTGGTGTCCAAGTGTCCAGCAAATTCCTATCTTCTAAAAATGGGTAAGACATTGTGCTCTTCCTAGAACAGACGTACCCATCCCCATTCACATGCTGGCAGGAAATCAGCTACAGACATCTCTCAGGGAAGTCATGGGGAGGAGAGGACCTGGCAGAGGGTTCCAGTTCATTAATGCTACCTCAGAGGGTATAAGAGACCAAATCAGCAGTGATATTTTTAGACTGATTGTTAATTTTCTCTACTTTCACCCTTCTATGCCAGCTCCTGTCGGTTTTACAGCTGAGTCACTGTTCAAATTTTCGGAAGCCTTCCCCAAGAGTACAAAGGCACCTGGAGTGTGATGGCAGCATTAGCAATGGCAACAAGAGCCTGGCACTGAATGCCTGCATTATAAGACCATCTGAGCTTGAGCTTAGCTGAAGGAGAGACTAGCCCCAAGACATGATGGTCAGATATTTGTTATCTAATGGGAATAGTCTAATGGGGGAAAAAATCTAACGGGGAAAATCCAGACCAGGAGCCATTATTTCTAGCCTGTGATATAAGGCCGTATACCTGGAACCCTTCTTCCCTATCACCATCCTTGGTTCTAGGTTGCTTACTCAGGATCTCTCTGAAGGAATAGGAAGGGGGGAGAGTAGCATTCATTCCATGTATGAAAACAGACCACTCTGCCTGTGACCCCAAATCTGCAACTCTATACCATATCTCTACTGTGGCGGTAAACAGAGTGTGGACTTCCCCCCGACTGTGGATCCCACAAGTTCAAGTTAGTGACAAACACAGCCCTTCTCCCCAGTATAACTCCCAGTCTTGATCATCAGGCAAGTTCCATTACCTGTAGAAAAGACATATTCATGTCCCTTGTAAGGTCAGCACACATCCTGCCCCTGTCACTAACCACCTCAACTTCTTTCTCACCTAGGAGGCCTCCCTGGCCACACTGCTTCCCAGGTTCTCCCTCCTCTCTGCACTGAAAGCTTTCCCAAATAGACTACTTGACTCCACAATACAGCTCATGCTCCACTGTATGATGAAAACTTTGTATAATTACATCACCGTCCCCTAGAAGCTACAGGGCCCAAGATACTGATCTTTGAAGAATCTGTCCATCCAGCTAAATCAACACAAGCAGGAGGCAGAAGAATGGGAGAGACCTTGTCTGAACTCTGCAGTTAAAAAACAACCAGGATAAACACAGTGGCTCAGCACTCATCATTCATTCAAAAAATATGTATTAGACAGCCATTAGCCAAGCACTGTTGTACTGCTGGGAATATAGTATTGGAGAACTGGGAGTTGAGGAAGATTTACAAGAGACCTGGTTGGGCCGAGGAAGTCCATGTTCCACATAAGAGAGACCTAATCCCGTTCTGAATGTCGCCTCAGAATGGTTGTTTGGAAGAAGCTTCAGATGAAAATTGCTTAAGACTCCCCACTCATCTTAGGCTGATGTAGCCTGCAGATCAATGGGGAGCCTGCAAGTGACACAGCACAGGGAACATTCCATTCACTGATTAGCAGTTAGGGTAGAAAACCAGAGTGTGGGCCAGGCACGGTGGCTCACATCTGTAATCCCAGCATTTTGGGAGTCCGAGGCGGGTGGATCACAAGGTCAGGAGTTCAAGACCCACCTGGCCAAGATGGTGAAACCCCGTCTCTACTTTAAAAAAAAAAATTAGCTCGGTGTGGTGGTGGGCACCTCTAATCCCAGCTACTCAGGAGGCTGAGGCAGAGGATTGCTTGAACCCGGGAGGCAGAGGTTGCAGTGAGCCAAGATCGCACCACTGTACTCCAGCTTGGTCGACAGAGTGAGACTCCATCTCAAAAAAAAAAAGAAAAGAAAAGAAAACCAGAGTGTGAACAGGTTAGTCCTCAAGAGACTTCTAAAGGGGAGTGGCAAAAAACAGACATGTCCTCTGGCAACCTTAGACTGCACATCTGGTCTGCCCACTGGGCTTCTGTACAAGGCATCATTAAGAGAGTCCTTGTTTCCAGGTCCCCCACAGTAGTCTCAGTCACCTCACTCTTCTGCTGCATAATGCTGCACACAAAAGAGTCGCAAGGGGGAAGGCAGGAAGACAAATCCAGCGGGTGGTACAGCTGATAAGCTGAGACTCAGGGATCAAGATGGGGCTGGAACTGTCTACCATATGCCCTCACCTTCAGAGATCTCATCAAGGGAGCACATCACCTCTAGCTGAATAGCCCCTATAGTAGTATATGGTTACTTTAAGTTTTCTCACCCAATATGTTAGAGTTCTGCTAACAGGACCACAGGTGTAACAGGAAGCATATGAATTTTGTAACCAGAGACCTGGGTTAGAATTCTGAGCCTTCCAGGAGTTGTGTCACTTTGGGCACTTTGTAACCTCCATGAGCCTATTTCCTCATCTGTACAAGCATTAAAATCATGTGATGTACTTAGCACAAAAATTAGTCGATAAATGGTGGTTATTAGTCACTCCATGCCCCATTCCAGGATACTGAGGACAGTTTCCACAGCCCTTCTGTTCCACTACAGATCTTAAGACATTGCAAGCAGGACAAGGGTAGCCCTGGACATGAGAAAGGGTAGCACTGGGGTATGAGAAAAACGCACTTATAACACTCATCTTGCCCCCAAAGTCTTCCTCCCCATCAAGGGATAGTGCCTCAGGGTAGGCACAGTCTAGAAGAGAAGGACCCCACAAAGTGTTACATCCAAGCCCATGCAGGCCTTGCAGGTACAATTCTCAAAAACAGACTCTATCCCAGGGTCTTCTTGCAGGACTCTGAGGCCAAGGAAATCTAGATAGCAGAAGTACTCTGGCCCCTGGAGAATGGTATCCATGTACCAGCCTAAAGCTAAGAATCCAATGAAAGGTTGTTACAATGAAGAAAATCCTTAGGGGAAAAAATGAAAGCCCCTATCATAGCAGATGCAGCACTCGGTATACCTCCTCATTTGTTTTCCTTTGATAGCCACGGAGATTCTTAAAGGTAACAATTTTATCTTAATCAATGTTGTACTTCCAGTGCTGCACACAACGAATGCTCGACGTTTGCCAGATGAATTTAGCCAACAGCCCTACTATCTCCAACCTTGCTCATTACTTAAGAGTGGTAGAAGATGGTCAGATGTGATGCCATAGCTGCCTTGGGCAATATATCACCAAGCAGAGCTCAAGGAATAAGCTTGCATCTTGGTCTCTACACAGAGACAACAGTGTAACAGGGTATCTGCAAGGATAACTCCGAAAATGCCCAGAGCTGTTGAAAGCCTCCTCCCTCACTGAAGCAACTGAGCTAGCTGGTTTTCAGACGGAAAGGCAGTGTAGGCACTGGAATGTGGGCTGCATGTTCCCGCATTGCTGGTGAGGGTGCACGATCTGGCACTGCAGCTGGCTGGTGGGAGGGCTGCATCCTACTCCAGGAGGTAGTACCCTCATGTGGGCTTTCCAAGAAGGCCCAGAGCCCAGGGAAAGAAGAGCAATGGCTGTCACCACAGCTCCAAAACCAAAGGCAACATGACGATTAGGGATGGGTGTGTCCTCAACCCTCAGAAAGGAAAACATACCCACACTAACCTGCCTACACAGCCAGATCATACTGCTGGGGCAACTCTGGTTCTGGTCCTTATGAATTCTGAGGCTCAGGCTGCAGTCCCTCCCTGGTCGACAAAATCATGTAATATTTATCACTAAAGTGCTTGGGATGGAAAGTGGAAAAGAAAAACCATTTCTATTTCAGAGACAAACAGCTACAAGCACAGGCCTTTCAGGTGGTGGAGAAGCTGTGGATATTATGACTAGATCCAAGCTACTTTTAATAGCTCAATTTCATAGTAACTTTCAGACCAAGCTCTCCAAGCCCCCAGTGGGGCACACCTGCATTTCTATGGGCCCAATGTTATAATGTATTTCAGAAAGAGCATTGTAGCTTAGAGAATGAGAGCCAAAGAAGGGCTATACTTCAACCTGATGCCAATGAAAGACAGTGCCTTGGTCAAACACTGATCACCCACAGACAGGTGCCCATCTCCTGTGTGAGTTCTTCTATCTTTTGCTCAGATACGGTGGAAGTGAGGACAGGGGAGGCTGGCTTCATAGGCCCCCAAGGTTGGCGTCAAGAACACACAAAACAAAGTACCGTGGTCTCCAGGCATAGAATACCAAACAGTGATACCATACTTCCTTGCCCAGGGGAACAGGGTAGTTGCTGACCTTTCTGGAAAAACCTGAGTCAGCAGAAGGCCAGTACTTCAAGAAACCCTATCTTAACCCAGAGATAGTTACTTAAGGTAAAGCTCTCCCCATCCACATCCACATAAAACAATTTCAATACCCCTCTCCTAAATGGGGTTTTACCAAAACAACTGGGCATTAAAATGCCTAACAGACACAACGGGCCCAGGCTCTGCAAAGCATTCTAAAAAAAGACCTGCGCCAAACAGGGTGGAGGCCACAGAAATCAACAAGACAGTACCTTGCTGCCATGGCTGCCGGTTCCTGGACCAGGGAGGGAAGGGAAGGACAGCAGACTTGGTGTTTCCCACTGTCAGTACCAACAGCGAATGGCTGTACCACCCCCTCCCCCCCGCCCCTTACCACCTTTTCATTTTCCTAGAGTATCTGCTGCCAATACCTCTTTATTATAATTTACATAAAGCAAAATATGTAGCTTGTAAGTATACCTGTAGTGTTTAAGTTCACATTTCTTCCTGAATACTCCAAGACTTGTATTTAGGCAACCCTCCTCCTTGTACCACAAGAGGGAAATAAACAGGTAACAGAAGGTATAAGCAGAAGCAATTTAAGGGGGGGCTGCCAAGAAGTCCCTTTAGTTTGTCCCCACTGAACCCTACCAAGAAGACAAGGGATCCTAAAGGGGAGTGGCTCTTCTTTTATCCAGCTGGTCACTCTCAACACAAAGGGAAAAAAAAAAAAGATTCTATAGCTGGGAGTTACCCCACCCCACTCACCCTGCCTACCCCTTTCCAGGATCAATGCTCTGAACCCTATGTTAAGTCAATTCCAAATATCTCAGTGCATTATCCAGCCTCATCTGAGGTTAAAATCCTTCCCTTGCCATGATTCAGAGACCACTCACTCTTCATATAACTCCCTGGTTTTTAAAACCACTGAGTAATTCTGGTCATCCAGTAATCAACCCCTTAACTCCCCTCCCCCACCTAAAAGTGTTTTGCTTCATCATCTCCAAGACAGGCCTGGGCACCAGGGGGTTAGCTGGATCTTTTCTGCACAAGGCCACCACGCCTTGGGGACCCTCCTCAGGGCCACTCCAGGTGCAGACTAACAACTCCAGGGAATTTATCAGGGTAAGTGGAAGAGCCATGCCTGCCTTTACGTGGAGCCATCTGTCCTGCCACACTCACAGCTTGCATTTCCATCTCTTGCAAAACAGCTCCATGTTGTATGTGTGTATGGTGGGGAGTGATGCAAAGGGGAACAGAACAACTGTTGCTGTGGATATCTTCGTTCACCACCCCCATGCATCCCCTTACCCCAGCCAACTCATTCTCTGGCACTCACCCGAGTGTGTGCTGCTCTGGGCTGAGGAATCTGAGTCCTGGGTGCTCCAGGGTCGGTCCCAGCCTGTCAGACTGAGGGACTGCAGGCCAAGGCACAAGTCATTTGCATCTGGGAGGCCACGGGAAGATTCTTGCGCAGAGGTTGGGAAAAGCATCCTGCTTGTAACTGTTTCTTCAGAGTCCTGGAAGTCTGTTTTGGAAAGGAGCACAGCAGAAACCTCAGAGTTAAGGGCTGTTTTCCCCAATATTATCAACAGTAAATATTATTAATAATAGTTTCCCCAGGCTCACAGGCCAGACATCCAAGCTGGCTGGATGCTGCAGCCGCTGCCTCTGCACTTTTGGGGACGCTGGGGCAAGAGCAGTTGCCATACAGGCCCCCTCCCCTCACACACACACCCCTATCCCGTCTGCATTACAGACTGGGCCAGCATGTGATCAGGCTGCTGATGCTTCCCGCTGCCAGTGACATCAGCCGGCTGAGCCGTGCAATAGAGAGCGGCATCATCCCTCACAGAACGGGGGAGGAGCAGGAGGGGACGACAGGGAGGAGACTTGCCTCCCAGGGAAAGACAGCACAACAGCTACTTGGAATAGTCCCGGTGCAGTGCCGTTAAGTCTGGGTTGCAAGGCAGCGCCCTCCGGTCTCCAGCAATGGTGGCCAAGCAGCCCTCACGCACGACTGAAGTCCTCTCCGCCGACAGCAGAGCCAAAGCAGCCGACTGCCTGCTCGTGTGGCTCTGCCCTCCTGCCCCTCCCTTTCCCTCCCCCTGCTCTCCACCCCCAAACCCAAAAACACTCTAGTCCTGGACTCTCTCCAGCTGCTGGCTCAAGCCCTGGCTTTGCAGCCCAATGCAAAGCTTCACAGTCCTGCTAGCAAAAATCTGTGCTCCAAGTGGCCCCTGAGCAGCACCCTGACACAGCAGTGTTTACCACTGAGGAACAAGATAACCTTCAGAAAAATACTGTACACTTGGACCCTGGGGAACAACACCTGGTGTTCCAGGCTTGTCTAGAGCAGCTTATCACAGAGAAAGGGGGTAAGCGTTGGCAGAGTGGGGGAGAGTCACTGGGCTGTTCCAGGTACACCTCAAAGGACATGGCCCACAACCCACATGCCAGAGTGAGACCTGCCCTGACTAGGATAATCCCTGTGCCCAGGTTCCCTCATCCCAACAAGATGGGTATTAGTCATGAACAGATACAGCGGCTCAGCTCCTCCCCTCCCTCCTGCAACTGTAGGCACAGACTGAGGAAACACTCTCGAAGCAGCATCTGACAAACCAAGAGAAACAGTCTCTGAAGTATCGTTACGCCCTATTAGAAACACCAAACTCTGAAACCTAATCACCTAGCTCTGTCAATATTGCTTCTCTTGCCCTTCCAGGAGCCCTGAGCATGATACAGGGCAGCCGTGAGGGCCACTGATGCCTCTAACATCCAGGCCCTCTCTCAGAGGTGCTGCACAAGACCAATGCTTATTTCTGTGGCCACTCACAGCTCCAGCAACAAAGACTAAGAAAATTCAGCTTCTGGAGCTTCCGCCATTTCCTCTTTGCCATCTCCTCCCACATCGGTCCTTTTCCAACATGAGCCCAGGGTCACTGGGCTTCTTCCTCATAAAGGAGGGTAGGGCAACAGGCCCAGACTCACCAGGCAGGCTGCTCAAACCTGGACTCAGCTGGTAGCACTCCACCTGCTTGTTCTCCCCTGTTGCAAGGAGAAGCAAGCAGATACGGGAAGCATGCCCACCTGGGACCTCCCATGGCAGGGTCGAGAGAATAATGCTGCCACAGAAATAGCTGTTCAGAACTTCCTGCAGTACACCCTGTGTCCACAGGCACTCAGGCATAGCCTAGAAGGGAAAATTATCAGTCTCCTTCCTTTGGAGATTTTTTTTTTTTTTTAAAGCTTTGCTGCTGTGTCATCCATCCACGTTATTCCTCCTGGCTGTAGATATTCTGCTTGCTCCCTATCTGTGTTTGTCAAAGCCTTGTTCATCATGGCAAAGGCCTAGCAAAAATCACCCATACTGGTGCTGCCCCTACCCCTGACTACTCCCCTCCTGCTTCTCTATGTTCACCCTTCCCTCAAGCTAAGGATATACTTTAGACTTCACCCATACATATTAGTTACCAAAACACAATGCTTCCTTCAAAAACATCCATATTTAAGTATCTATTCTCCCCTACACCAAATATCTATATAATCCCCATACCCCAATCTGAGGGCATCTATGTCTAGAAGCAGCCATTTTCTACCCATTAAAATCAGGGTGACTGTGCATATGATTACCCCCATCCCTCACGAGGAGAGAATCAACTATGCTCTTGCTACTCAAAATACAGTGTGGCAGACCAGCAATATGAGCATCACCAGGAGCTTGTTATAAATACTGAGTCTCAGGCCCCACCCAAGACCGACAGAATTGAGATCTGCATTTTAACAAGATCCCCAGTTAATATATATGTATGCAAAAAAAGTTTGAGCAGTCGGGTGTGGTGGCTCATGCCTATAATCCCAGAACTTTGGGAAGATTGCTTGAGCCCAGGAGTTCAAGGCAGCAGTGAAAGCCATGACTGCACCACTGTACTCCAGCCTGGGCGACAAAGTAGTTCCCATCTCAAAAGTTTGAACAGTACTGATGTGTACAACTAACACAATCTTCCCACCCCAAGCTGAAAGACCCCAGGCCTGAGCAACAGGTCTGTTAAACCCATTTAAGACCAAATGGCTACATGCATCCAGGAGCTTGGAGTTCTACACACAGTATAATTCTACCCTCACCCCTACAACCCCCACCACAGACCTCACCTTCCTCCTTATCCAGACATTCCTCAATCTGTTGTTTCTTCTAGATAAAGATTTTCACTACCATTGTAGGATTTCTTCACTAGCTCCAACTCAATGCAGGCCATACCTGTTAAAACCATTAGTGTGGCAGGCTGGAAAAATCAACAGCTTTAGATGACTGACAGACCTTGCTCTGCTCACCAGGTCTGCCACTGTGTCTTTCTGAGAATCTTTTCTTCTTTAAAGATGCAACAGTAGCCATCTTTTAGGTGTTTTGTGAGGATTAAAGAAAATATTTGAGGCCAGGTGCAGTGGCTCAAGTCTGTAATCCCAGCACTTTGGGAGGCTGAGGCAGGCAGATCGCTTGAGGTCAGGAGCTCAAGACCAGTCTGGCCAACGTGGTGAAAACCTGTCTCTACTAAAAATACAAAAAACATTAGCCAGGCACAGTGGCACACGCCTGCAGTCCCAGCTACTTAGGAGGCTGAGGCAGGAGAATTGCTTGAGCCCAGGAAGGGGAGAGGTTGCAGTGAGCCAAGATCGTGCCACTGCACTCCAGCCTGGGCAACAGAGCTAGACTCGGTCTCAAAAAAAAAAAAAAAAAAAAAAAAAAAAATCATAAACCATGTTCATGTACTGGAAGACTCAACAGCGCTAAAAAGTGATACCCACAAAATTAATATACAGATGTTCCTCAACTACAGTGGGGTTATGGTCTGATAAACCCATTGTAAGTTGAAAATATTATAAACGGAAAATGCATTTAAATACATCTAATTTACTGCACATTATAGCTTAGCCTAGCATACCTTAACTGTGCTCAGAAAACTGACACTAGCCTACAGTAGGGCAAAATAATTTAACACAAAACTTGTTTTATAATAAAGTGATGAACACCTCATGTAATTTATTGAATACTGTAATGAAAATAAAAACAGAAAGGTCGTATGGATACTCAAAGTACAATTTCAACTGAATGCGTATCATTTTCACACCATCATCATGTCAAAAACCAAAGTTGAACCAACCTAAGTCTGGGGCCATCTGCACATCTGTGTAATCCCAATATACCAGACTTAAAGCAATTCATTGGGGAAAAACTTTTTAACAAATGGCACTGGAACACCATATGGGGAGGAGGGAATAAACTCTGACCTATATACAAACATTAATTTAGTAGATATCAGAGACGTAAAAGTGAAAGCTAAGTATAAACTACAAAGCCTCTCTAAGAACCTATCTTTGTAACTTGGTAGGGGAGGGGGAGTACATAGAAGCAAGGGTTTCTTTATGTAGAGTACAGAAAGCAATGATCATGGAGAAAGTTGATAAGCTGACCTTATCACAACGAAAAACTTCTGCTCATCAAGATACCACTAAGAAAATAATTACGCAAGCCACAATATGTGAGAAAATACCCACAACCATATCTGACAAATCAGTAAAAGAAATCTTAACTGAAAAGTAACGAAATCTCAATTGTTAAAAGGCACAAAATCTGAAAAGCACTTCACAAGGATTATATAAATGGCCAATAAGAACTTCAAAAAGTGCTCAAAATCATTAGTCAAAGAAATCCAAGTTAAAACCACAGTGAGACACTACTGCACACCTACTAGATGGCTAAAATTTAAAAGACTGTACCACATCTTGCCAACATTTGATGTTGTCAATCAAAGCTTCATTACCGTAAATGGTACATCCACCTTGTACTTATGAAAACGCTTATATATTTTCTTCCTTTTCAATGGGAGAAAAGGTACATCCACTTTGAAAAATGGTCTGCCCATTTCTTACACAACTAACACATATTATCTTATGACCCAGAAATTCTACTCCTAGGAATTCAACTAAGAGGAGTAAAAGTGTATGTCTAATAAAACACCTGTGCAAGAATAGTCATAGCAGCTTTATTCATAATCACCCAAACGTGGATTCAGTCCATGTGAGAATCAACAGAACAAAATGTAGTACATGCATA
The DNA here is from genome assembly GCF_000001405.40 of Homo sapiens. NCBI lineage: Eukaryota > Metazoa > Chordata > Mammalia > Primates > Hominidae > Homo > Homo sapiens. Next base: position 365,222 of record NT_187606.1, read on the forward strand.
TACCATACTATTATTCAGCAATAAAAAGGAATAATACAGGCAACAATAAGATAATTATGGTGAGTGGAAAAAGCCGTACATAAGTTACATATGTATATAATTCCACTTATTTGAATTTTTAGAGCAGACAAAACTAATAAATGGTGAAAAAAATCAGGTGGTTGCCTCTGGCAGGAAGTAGGCAGGTAGATTAGGAAGGGGTACAAGGAAAGTAGCTGAGGTGATGCTAACAGTGTGTATATTTTGATGAGAGTGAGGATACATCAGTCAGAATGGATCTAATGACACATTTAGAATTTGTGCTCTTCACTGCATATAAATTTTACCTCAAAAAAGTTATAAACAAATATAGTATTGAATACTAGTTAATGATATGCATGGTGAAGGATTTTGGGGTAAACTGTAGCAATGTCTACAATTTAAAGATATGTGATAAGGCAAATATGACAAGATGTTCACTGTTCAATCTAGGTGGTATTACAGGTGTTCACTTTGTAATTCTTTTAGCTTTTATGTATGCTTGAAAATGTTACTAAAATGTTGAGAAAAAAATAAAGTCAGACTTTTTCTGAAAAAATGAAAGTCTGACTGAACTAATTGATTTGACAATAAAAACTGACTCCAGGCTGGGTGTGGTGGCTCATACGTGTAGTCCCAGCACTTTGTGAGGCCAACGCAGGTGGATAGCTTGAGCCAATGAGTTTGAGACCAGCCTGGGCAACATGGCAAAACCCCGTCTGTAATAAAAATACAAAAAATCAGCCGGGCATGGTGGGTGCACACTTGTAGTCACAGCTACTTGGGTGGCTGAGGTGGAAGGATCGCTTGAGCCTAGGAGGCAGAGGATGCAGTGAGCTGAGACCACGCCACTGCACTCCAGCCTGGGTGACAGAGTGAGACCCCGTCTCCAAAAACAGGACTCCATTAAATGAGGCATTATAGTAGAAATTTTTTTCTGTAAATAAAGTTAAATCTATAGGCCCATGGCTTTGACAAAACATACTTAAAGCAAATGGTAAGATTAAATCATTTTTAAATAGCATGTTGGCAAAGGTGTGTTTTGTTTTGTTTTTGCAGCTGAGGCTATAGGCACACCACTATGTCCAACTATTTTTATTGTTTTGTAGAGACAGAGTCTCACTATGTTGGCCAGGCTGGTCTCGAACTCCTGGGCTCAAGGGATCCTCCCACCCCAGGCTCTCAAAGTGCTGGGATTACATGTGTGAGCCACTGTGCCCGACTGCAAAGGTGTATTTTTAAACTAACTTAAAAAATTTTTTTTTAATTTCCTACAAATGTTGCACAAAAACTATTTTAAGTTTTCTCTATCTTTTAAGTATACTGAATTAAGGTGTGTCTAAGTGAAGGACAGACATAGTAGTAATCTCAAATCTGTTTTTATTTTTTGAGATGGATTTTTAGAAACAGAATCTTGCTCTGTCAGGCGGGAATGCAGTGGCATAAACACAATTCACTGCAGACTAGACTTCCAGGTTTAAGAGATTTTCCTACCTCAGCCTCCCAAGTAGCTGGGACTACAGGTGCATGCCACCATACCTGGCTAATTTTTTTGGGAAGTATATTTTTGTAAAGACAGGGTCTTGCTATGTTGCCCAAGCTGTTCTCAGACTCTTGAGCTCAAGTGATCTGCCTGCCCCAGCCTCACAAAGTGCTGGGATTACAGGTGTGAGCCACTGCATTCAGCCTCATCTGAAAAATATAGCATTGATAAAGCTATATTGGGCCAGGCACGGTGGCTCACGCCTGTAATCCCAGCACTTTGGGAGGCCGAGGCAGGTGGATCACGAGGTCAGGAGATCGAGACCATCCTGGCTAACACGGTGAAACCCCGTCTCTAATAAAAATACAAAAAATTAGCCGGGCATGGTGGCAGGTGCCTGCAGTCCCAGCTAATCGGGAGGCTGAGGCAGAAGAATGGCGTGAACCCAGGAGGCGGAGTTTGCAGTGAGCCGAGATCGTGCCACTGCACTCCAGCCTGGGCAACAGAGCGAGACTCCGTCTCAAAAAAAAATAAAAAATAAAAAAGCTACATTGATAAAGCATTATTGGTATAGTTAGGAAACTGAGTAATTCCATGTCTGGTATGACTAGGTAAAACGTCTTTTCACAAATTAGCTGGTTTTCCGTTCTTTCTTTTCAACCAATATGAAGGAGGAATGAACGCAACTATCAGCCAGTAGATGACTAAAAATAATAATACATGACTAATTTTTTGCACAGAACTAAATCAAAGAATTGTATGAACTAGTTCATTCCCCATCTACTTATTTTATGTGAACAAGTTTACTCAGGGCACAAACCTATGGAAACAAAATGTATATATACAGTGTTGAAAATTCCAAGTTGGTGGGCACAGTGGTTCACACCTGTAATCCCAGCACTTTGGGAAGCCGAGGCAGGTGGATCACTGGAGTTCAGGAGCTCGAGACCAGACATGGCGAAACCCCATCTCAACTAAAAAATACAAAAATTAGCCGGGTGTGGTGGCGTGCACCTGTAGTCCCAGCTACTCAGGAGGCTGAGGCAGGAGAATCACTTGAACCCAAGAGGCGGAGGTTGCAGTGAGCCAAGATCATGCCACTGCACTCCAGCCTGGGCAACAAAGCAAGATTCTGTCTCAAAAAAACAAACAAACAAAAAAAACCCCAAGTCATTCCAGCAATAAGTCAGTCATACAAAATTACATGTTTTTTTGTTTTGTTTTGTTTTTTGAGAGAGTCTCACTCTGTCGTCCTGACTGCAATGGCAAAATCTTGGCTTACTACAACCTCCACGTCCTAGGCTCAGAAAATTCTCCTGCTCCAGCCTCCCGAGTAGCTGGGATTATACACATGCACCACCACGCCCAGCTAATTTTTGAACTTTAGTAGAGACAGGGTTTCACCATGTTGGCCAGGCTGGTCTTGAACTCCTGACCTCATGTGATCTACCCACCTCGGCCTCCCAAAGTGCTAGGATCACAGGCATGAACCACCATGCCCAGCCTTAAAATTACATGAGATTTTAAAAGACCTCAATTTATGTCATTAAAAACTATTTCCAGGCTAGGTGTGGTGGCTCACATCTGTAATCCCAACACTTTAGGGGGCTAAAGCAGGAAGATCACTTGAGCCCAGGAGTTCAAGACTGCCTGGGCAACACAGGGAGACCCCGTTTCTACAAAAAGTAAGACAAATAGCTGGACATGGTGGTGTTTGTCTGTGGTCCCAGCTACTGAGGAGGTTGAGGCTACGATGAACCATGATTGCGCCACTGCACTCTGGCTTAGGCGACAGGTACCTTGTCTCAAACAAAAAACAAAACAAGCATTTCCAATAAACAATTATTAAAGAATAAAACTTTATCAAGATTTATAACATTTAGATTGCCTTAATTGCCCTAACAATCATCATTATCACCTTTGAGACACAGGAAATAATTTAAAATTTCAGTTTATGTACTTTTGTTGTTACAGAGAAGGATGACATGTGATCAACAAAAGACTCTCAAGCACGGCCGGGCGCGGTGGCTCACGCCTGTAATCCCAGCACTTTGGGAGGCCGAGACGGGTGGATCATGAGGTCAGGAGATCGAGACCATCCTGGCTAACAAGGTGAAACCCCGTCTCTACTAAAAATACAAAAAATTAGCCGGGCGCAGTGGCGGGTGCCTGTAGTCCCAGCTACTCGGGAGGCTGAGGCAGGAGAATGGCGTGAACCCGGGAAGCGGAGCTTGCAGTGAGCCGACATTGCGCCACTGCAGTCTGCAGTCCGGCCTGGGCGACAGAGTGAGACTCCGTCTCAAAAAAAAAAAAAAAAAAAAAAAAAAAAAAAAAAAAAAGACTCTCAAGCACAAAATATTACATTAAGATAAAACTCAGCGGGAGAAGTGGACTACAAATACTAGGAGAAAAGAAATAATGGGCCAGGCGCGGTGGCTCACACCTGTAATCCCAGCACATTGGGAGGCCAAGGCAGGCGGATAATGAGGTCAAGAGATCGAGACCATCCTGGCCAACATGGTGAAACCCCTTCTCTACTAAAAATACTAAAAATTAGCTGGGCATGGTGCCACGTGCCTGTAGTCCCAGTTGCTCGAGAGGCTGAGGCAGAAGAATCGCTTGAAACTGGGAGGCGGAGGTTGCAGTGAGCTGAGATCATGCCACTGCACTCCAGCCTGGAGACAGAGCAAGACTCTGTCTTAAAAAAAAAAAAAAAGAAGAAGAAGAAAAAAGAAATAATGAAAAGTTTCCCCCTGTTAAAGAACTGGTTTAAATATTTTAAAATAGATAATAGGTCTCAAATCTCTCTACTATTGTAAATCTACAGTTTCACTTATAATAAAAATGTAGATACCAAGTTAAATATGCAAGGGGTACCCTGTACTAAAAATTTTATTGTGGTAAAATATACATGAAATTTACCACTCTAACCATTTTTGAGCATACAATTCAGAGGCATTAGTACATTCATATTTTTGTGCAAGCATCACTACTCTTCACCTCTAGAGCTTTTTTTACGCTAAGCTAAAATTTTGTACCATTAGACACTAATTCCCCACTACCCTCTCCTCCTAGCCCCTGGTTACCATTATTTTACTTTGTCTCTATGAATTTGACTATTGTAGGGACCTTGTAAGTGGAATTATACAATATTTTTCCTTTGTATCAGGCTTATTTTACTTAGCATAATGTCTTCAAGGTTCCTCCATGTTGCAGTACGTCCCCAATTTCTTTTTTTTTTTTCTTTTTTTGAGACAGGGTCTCCTTCTGTCACCCAGGTTGGGATGCAATGACGCAATAATGGCTCACTACAGCCTCAGCCTCCCAGGATCAAGCAGTCCTCCCACCTCAGCCTCTAAAGTAGATGGGACCACAGGTGCATGTCACCAGCCTGGCTAAATTTTTAGAGATGGAAGTCTCCCCATGTTGCCCAGGCTGTTGCTGAACCTCTGGGCTCAAGTGATCCACCCACCTAGGCCTCCCAAAGTGCTGGAATTACAGGCATGAGCCAATGCCTGGCATGCATGCATTCATTCATTCACTGATAGGATTTTGCTATGTTGTCCAGGCTGGCCCCAAACTCCTGGGCTCAAATGATCCTTCCTTGCCTCACCCTCTCGAGTAGCTGGGACTACAGGTGTGCACTACTGTGCTAGGTTTCCTTTTTAAAGCTCCTAATTTTGCATCGTACACAACATTTTGTTCATCCATCCAATTCATCCACTGATGGACACCTGGGTTGTTTCCTGTTTCTACCTTTTGACTATTGTAAATAGTACTGTTATGAACACTAGCATACAAATATGTGTTCAAGTCCTCGCTTTCAATTCTTTTGTGTGTATACCTAGAAGGAGAATTGCTGGATCATATGGTAACACTATGTTTAATTTTTTTTGGAAGCACCACACTCTTTTCCCCAGCAGCAGTACCATTTTACATTCCCACCAGCAATGCACAAATGTTCTAATTTCTCCATATCCTTGCCGACAATTTACATTTTAATAATGGCCATCCTAACAAGTGTAAACTGGTATCTCATTGCGGTGTACATTTTTTTTAAAAATTAGGTTGTACCCAAATGTTTGAAGATTGCTGTTGCCTAATTCATGAATCCCCAATGTTTTTAAAAATCTCCCCGACACCAGGTTTTTGTTGAATTGCTTTTGTTGAATTGCCATCCAAGTGGTCCTAAAGACAATGGCATCTTCTTGCAGCATTCTACCTCACTGGTTACAGTGATGGTCCCATAGGTAAGTATCTGACTCAAGCTGGGCAAGAATTACCCATTCCCATGACTACAGAGACCAGTCCAGGTATGGGTATGACTTAAGCCAAGCTAGCTGGGTATCTTTCCTTGAGATTTTTCTAACTGTATATAATGGAAAAAGAACTATTTCCTGATTGTCCATGATGCCAAAGGATGTGAGCATATACCCTTTCTCATAACTGGCAACTCTGCAAAAGGAGATAATGAAACTCACACTGGGAAATGAGCAGAGGAAAGACAGAAATAGACAAAATTGGAGGCCACAGATTCAGTATCCCTAGCTTTCCAGTGATTCCTTCCTATTCTATGAGCTTTGTATCAACAGCGTTCCAACATACCCCACATTTTACTAAAGTAAGTTCTAATTTGGTGTTTGATTTTTTACAAACGGGAGTGTTCTGCGTAATTCAGGCCCTTTAGCAAGGATAGACCAAACAAGTAACTACTGCATGCAGGATAAAAATCTCTGGGACAAAAGCCCTTAATATCCTGGCACCAGCTAAGAAAGTCAGCCACAAAAGAAAGCAGGAAAGAAGCTTAAAGACCACCTTGTCAAATTCCTCGCCATCCCGTCTTTTTTTACTAGAAAGCACACAAGGCTCAGAGATGGCCATAAGCGACAAAGCTACTAAAAGGCAGAAGATCCAAATCTCGATTTGTTGGTCTCAAATACAGGGACTAACTGATCCCCTGACCTCTCTCCCACAATGGGACACTTTCTAGACCCAGGTCTACACTCATACATAATAACCCTACTCAGACCTGTTTTATCATTAAGTTAGCAAAGGATCCCTTTTCTGCACTCAGGTCCCCATACTGTGTACTAAACCTATCCCATCATACTAGGAGTTCTTTTTTTTTTTTTTTTTTTTTTGAGACACAGTCTCACTCTGTTGCCCCGGCTGGAGTGCAGTGGCGTGATCTGGACTCACCGCAAGCTCCGCCTCCCGGGTTCACGCCATTCTCCTGCCTCAGCCTCCCTGAGTAGCTCGGACAACAGACACTGGCCACCACGACAGCTAATTTTTTGTATTTTTAGTAGAGATGGGGTTTCATCATGTTAACCAGGATGGTCTTGATCTCCTGACCTTGTGATCCGCCCGCCTCAGCCTCCCAAAGTGCTGTAGGAGTTTAATTCTTAACACTAACTCCCTCACCCTCCCCACTACTCTCTCCACAATCTGCTACTTATTCAGCAGAAAGTCAATTTCACATTCGGGTGTTTCTAAGATTTCGCTGCTATGTGCATATATTATTTTCAAAGGCGATAATTTTACTTCTTACCCATGGAGAGCAAAAAAGACGACTGCTGATTCAAGGCTAGCATCATCCAATCTACTGCTTATGGTATGGGGGAGTTCTGAAGCACGCCATCCTGAAGACTCTGGTTCAGAGTCCTTGAATACAACATGCCATCTAGGTTGTAGGTAACAACTAGTTTTAGTAAAACTAGTATAACCAAAACACAATGAAACATTACTTTACCTGACACTACACTGTTCAAATTGGGGTCTGCAGAAGTTCCTTAAACAGTACATCAAATTGGAGACCCTTTACAGTGCCAATCACGACTGCATCTACATAATATAAAAGCCAGTTATTTAAAACAGGAAGGCAGGGTATTTCCATATAGAGGGTAAATTGGTACAACATTCTGGAGAGCAATCTGACAAAAACATTGAAAGCTTCAAAAGATTTATTCTTTGATAAAGAAATACTACTTTTAGAAATTTATCCTATGTCCAAATAATCACAGATGCAGGCAAAAGCTTTAACTTCAGGTACTTCTTATAAGTGTATAAAATAGGCACCTATTTAAACAAACTCCAAAATACGAAAACTGAATGCCAGAGGTTAACCTTTTTTGTATCATGAACCATTTGGCAGTCTGCTAAAACCAATAAACCTTCTAAGAAAAATGTTTCAAAACATATAAAATAGTAATAATATTGAAATAGTAAATAAATGTCAAGGTATGTACAATGCCTGTAAAGGAATCAATATGAATTGTCTGATCATCCTATTGATACCAAATTATTAGGTCCTGCTAATATTGTGACTTGTTGCCTAAACTTACAGTTAAAAGAAATGCAGCTGGGCTTGGTGGCTCACACCTGTAATCCCAGCACTTTGGGAGGTCGAGGCAGGTGGATCACAAGGTCAGGAGACAGAAACCATCCTGGCTAACAATGTGAAACCCAGTCTCTATTAAAAATACAAAAAATTAGCCAGGCATGGCGGTGGGCGCCTGCAGTCCCAGCTACTCAGGAAGCTGAGGCAGGAGAATGGCATGAACCCGGCAGGCAGAGCTTGCAGTGAGTGGAGATCGCACCACTGCACTCCAGCCTGGGTGACACAGCGAGACTCCGTCTCAAAAAAAAAAAAAAAAAAAAAAAAAGCTACGTTTCAGTTAAACATCACTGAACGTGAAGATACAAGTTTTTACCTGTCTAAATTATTGGACCCCCTGAATTCTATCCATGTACCCAGGTTAAGAATCCCATAATGCAGGCTGGGTGCGGTGGCTCACACCTGTAATCCCAGCACTTTGGGAGGCAAAGGTAGGTGGATCACTTGAGGTCAGGAGTTCAAGACCAGCCTGGCCAACATGGTGAAACCCCATCTCTACTAAAAATACAAAAATTAGCCAGGCGTGGTGGTGGGCACCTGTAATCTCAGCTACTCTAGAGGCTGAGGCAGGAGAATCGCTTGAACCTGGGAGGAGGAGGTTACAGTGAGCCAAGATCACGCCACTGCACTCCAGCCTGGGCAAGACAGAGCGAGACTCCATCAAAAAAAAAAAAAAAAAAATCCCATAATGCATCTATCTACACAGTAAAATGCTATGTAGCCTTGAAAAGGGATATAAAAAATTAACACAAAGATAAAAGAGGCAAATAGTGTGTTCAAAATATTTAATATACACGTTTGAAAAAAAAAACTGGAGAGATACACCAAAATGTTAACAATAGTTATTTCTCAGTAGTAAGATGACATAATTTTTTTTTCCTAATTTGCTTTTTTTTTTTTTTTTTTTTACAGTGAACACATTGTAACAAGAAAAAAAATGCAAGCTATTAAACTGGGTAAGGTGACAACATCCCCTAAATAAACTTGAGTAGTTTTTGCAGATAAAAGCCCATATTAGATTTCAAATTTGACATCAGGAGTTCAATGACAAAATGATATTAGGATCATAAATTTAAATAAGCCACAAAACATTAAAAATAAGAGTGACTTTGGAGGGCATTTAGCGGAAGCCCTTTATTTCACAGTAGGAAGACCCTCCCCCCAGTACTAATTCCAGAAGCCTTAAGTGCTGATCTCTGCATAGTTCCCTCTACCCCCATAAATGTACTCATTTATTCTCCAGACAAAATGATGCAACATATCTACGTTTGGAAACTAGACCACATTCTCCAAAGTGGAAGTAATACAGACTGTGATCAAGACACAACCAACAGTTAAGCTTTCAGCGGCAAAGTCTGGACATTCCAGCAGATGGGGGTGGTACCATGCAGAATAAGACTTTCAAAATTTAAATGAAACATCACATTCTCACTTTTCAAGGGAGAAAAAGAGCAGAAAACTTATTTTTGAAGTCCAGGAAGAACTAGGCAACTTACAACTATCACCACATTCCTCAAAACAACCCCATGGAGAAGACAGGCATTATATCCCTTTTACAAGCATTAAAGCCATGGCACAAAACAGGTGAAGCAATTTGACCAAGCTAAGCACTCATCTCATTCAAAACCCGAGCCCTTCCCCCACCATGCCCTTTATACAATTATATTGTAAAATTCCATTTTGTTTTTTAAAATAGCATGCAAGTAATAAGTAAAAGATGATCACTTTCACATCTCGGCAGCGTTCCTTGTCCTCAATCCTACTCTCTTCTCTGAATGAACAGTTTGAGATATTCCTTTTGTACCATTTCCTATGCATTTGTGAACACTGTTACCAACACTGGTACTATTCAACTTTAAGTTCTGCCAATATGATAGGTTAAAAAATACACTACTTAATAAATGAGAATCTTGAGTGTCAGGCACTAGCTAGGCAACCAGGATATAAGTGAAGAAAAAAAAAAAAGTTACAGCTCTTGTCTTTTTGGGTTTACTATTGTAGTGGTAGAGAAAAACCTGATAATGGTGTAAGTGATAAAGTATAATTGTGAGCAAGGTGCTAGGAAGGAAACAGACATCAGGATACAAAAGTATGTAAGGTGGTTTCTGGCCTAATAGGGGAACAGTAGTTAGAATTTCCTTGGGTAAGTATGCCTTTCAGATATTTGTTAACCTCATTTGGAATGTTAATCTAATTTGATTGGAAGGTTGAAGCATTTTTTTCAGATACAAAAAAAAAAAAAAGCCACTAGCTATCAATTTTCAGTTTATATCCTTTGCCCTCTTTAAGAATGAGTTCTTATACTGTGGCTTTTCCTTTACATCAATAAGCCAGTACTTATTGTCCTCTAGAAAGAGAAATACCCTAAAAGAAAGAATACTCTAAAAATAATTTTGTTATACTTTTCTAAGCACTATGTTAAAAGTGCTTTAAACTCTAGACTATTTACAGAGGCCTCTAGTTTTAAATGTTATTCCCCTTTAAAAAAAATTACATAAAATAAATTTGATCTCTCCTTCTCTGCGTTTTTGGTCAGAACCAAAAGTTACCTAAGCTACATTTTTGTCCAGGTCAGCCAGATTGCTGGTAAAAACTAACTTCAATCAATCTGCATGAAAATGAGTAGACCACCTACAGTTAGTTTGTATTTCTGTGTTCATCGGGAAAGAATCTAAAGAAGTTGTAGGTTCAGGCTGGTTTCACAGCTATTCTAAATTTAGATTCACACATACAGTGCACATACACTCCCCTCTATACTTAGCGACATGGAATTGCACAGGTGTGAATTCAAGACGATTACTATTCCTAGCCTTTGTTAACATTTTAAAGAGTTAAAAGTTGCTAGTAAGGATGTCTGCTGCCCTAAGCCTGACTTATAGCATTTTCCCCAAGGGATTTTATTCATTAGGAACTAGATGACAATGAATTAACACACTACATACAACTTTGCAACAGAGAAGGAATTGCAATTGTCTTTAAGACAGTTTCAATAGTTGCCACCCCCTAGTTGTAAAAAAGATTATCAGGAAATTCAACATAGGAAAAGATTTAAAAGACTAACAGAAAAAATAACTGTTCTACTTATAAAGAAAATGGGAATTAAAATGAGAATTCTGCTTACCAAAACTGAAAAATTACAGTTACAATATTCAATGGTGATGAGCCATTTAGGTAATTTTTTCTTCTCTATGTATATGGTGAGACAGGACTCTCCAACTGCTGAGACAATCACAGAAGGACAGTATCTCCATCGAGAATTTAACCATCAAGAATTTTTAAAGTATCAAAACTCTTTAACTTGGTAACTGTATTATAAGAATCTCTCTAAATACTCATAAATGCTAAGAAAGATTTACCTACAAAGATGCCTGTCACAATGCAATCAATTGCGAAAACTGAAAATAACTATTCTGTCAAAATGGACTACGAACTTAGCCATTAAAATACATACCTCAGCATATGACAAAGGAGAACACTTAAGTGGCTGGGGAAAGAGAGTAAGTTGTATACAAGACGACAGCTGCATGAAGATATTCAGAAATACGGAGAGAACTCAAAGTCATCAAAAACAACTGAAGTAGACTACAGGTAGTAGCACGTATGAATCTTTACTGAAATTTTCAAATTGTTTATAGCAAATGTAAACTACTCAAAAAAATTCAGATAATTTTAAGAAATTAAAATCTAGGTATGGCTCTCTGACAGAGAAATTCACAATATATATTTAAAATAGTATATTTAAAGAAAGATGAGCTGTCCTAAGAAAATAATTCAGTAAAAAACCTTTCTGGGATGCTATCTGGTCATATGTTTTAAGAGTATGTTTATACCTAAGTACAAACATTGAGAAGTAGTTCAGTACTTCTAAGATTCTACTATGAGGATAACGGCCAAATTTTGTTTTGTTTTGTTTTTGTTTTTGTTTTGAGACAGGCTCTGGCTCTGTCACACAGGCTGGAATGCAGTGGTGTGATCTCATCTCACTGCACCCTCTGCCTCCCAGGCTCAAGCGATCCTCCCACCTCAGCCCCTGGAGCAGCCAGGACTACAGGCACATGCCACCACATCCAACTAGGTTTTTTTTTGTTTGTTTTTTGTTTTTGTATTTTTTTTTTGTAGAAACAGGGTTTCGTCATATTGCCCAGGCTGGTCTCGAACTCCTGGGCTCAAGAGATCCACCTGCCTTGGCCTCCCAAAGTGTGGGATTACAGGTGTGAGTGACCGCATCCAGCCCAAAGGTTTTCTTAATGTGGAAGTTCATCCCCACATTAAGAGTTAATAAAATAATAGCATGTACAACTTCAAACAAGGAGGATATGAAGAATTATCTCCACCTAATTCCCTACCCCAGAGATACCTTTCAAAGATTTTTATGTATACAAGCATGTATACACATAGCTTTTAAAAAATATATGCACAAATGGTCAAATATACCATTTCACATCTTTTTTCAAGTATTTTAAGAGTTCTTTCCATATCTGTATAAAGAAATCAGCTTCATTATTTTATGGCAGCATGGCAGTCCATTCCATGAACATGATGTATCTAACCATTTCTCTACTGATGAGCATTCAGGCTGCTTCTAGTAGTTTTTATTTCTTCTACAAATAAGGCAATGAACATCCCTCAACATTGATCTTGACTTACTTGGGCAAGCATACTTGTTAAATGCATACACCTTACAATCCAGTACATTTAAAATTGATAGCTGTTGGTCAAAATTGACCCAAGAACCACACCCATTTAAATTCCCAACGATATGAGAACTATTTCTTTGTACCCTTACCAAATTTTACTTTTTATGAACCTGACAGGTAAACAATAGAACCCATTGTTTAAATCAATGATGGGATTCTGAGCTGAAGGACAAGGAGTCTACCATATGTTCTTAAGATTGAGTATCTTTCATGTTAATTGTCCCTCTTTTCCCCATCATGTTCCCCATCTTAGAAAACAGATCCACATTAGTGTGCAAGACAAAATGACTCCTCTCTCCCCCATTCCCCGCAATCGTCTTGTTGAACCTAACCTTGAAATTTACACAAAATCTGTCCACTTATTTTGTCTCTATTATTACCATACTAGTCCAAGCCAACACACTTCTCACCTGAACTACTGCAATAGCCTCCCCTATGTTATCTGTGCTTTACCATTCAACACTTCCCACCCCCTGGAAAGCCCTGTACCTCTTAAACATCCCAAGTTCAGGCCCACGCCAAGGCCCTGCTGTTTGTTCTGCTTAATACTCCTGCTCTGGCCTTAAACCAGTTTCTCTACATGGCTGACTACTTGTTATTCAGTCTTCAGCTTAAATGCTACTTTCTGAGAGAGAGACCTCAATTGTATGTGGGGCGGCAATTTAATCACTAACCCCTGCCCCCATCCTAATCATTCCTTATCACATCCCATTGCTCAGTCTTCATATTGCTGAGTATAATTTGAAATTGTGGCCAGGCATGGTAGCTACTGCCTGTAATCCTAGCACTTTGGGAGGCAGAGGCGGGTGGATCACTTGAAGTCAGGAGTTTAGGACCAGCCCGGCCAACATGGTGAAACCCTGTCTCTACCAAAAATACAAAAATTAACCAGACATAGTGGCACATGCCCATAGTCCCAGCTACTCGGGAGGCTGAGGCAGGAGAGGTTGCAGTGAGCCGAGATTGCACCACTGTACTCCAGCCTGGGCAACAGAGCAAGACTCCAACTCCAAAAAAAAAAAAAATTGTATTACAGTCGGCACTCCCTACCTGTGGGTTCCACATCTTTGGATTCAACCAACCGCAGATCAAAAGTATTTTTTAAAATGTGTCCATATTAAACATGTACAGATTTGTCAGTATTCCCGAAACAATACAGTATAACTATTTACACTGCATTAGGTATAAGTAATCTAGAGATAAAGTATATATAAAGGAGGACATGCATGGGTTAGATGCAAATACTGTACCATTTTACATCAGGGACTTCGGCATTTGTGGATTTGGGTTATGCACAGGAGGTCCTGGATTCCCTAAAGATAACTAGGGACAACTTTTGCTTCTACTCCACCGTATTTCTTCATAGCTTTTCTACAGGAGAGCAGACACAGTATCTGCACTTTTCACATCTGTATTCACAACATCTAGAAGAGTTTATTAGTGTTGACTAAAAGAAGTGCAGAATAGTCTTTTCCTATGTGTCCCCTCATCCCTTTGACAAAAAAAAAAAAAAAAAAAAAAAAAAAAAACAGTTGTTAGTCTCATTAATTCCTAAGAAAACTCTGTAATTCAAGAAAGTTAACCTTCTGTTACCCATTACACATATTTTTTCCTCCTTGGTCACATATTTAAATTATATAATTCAATGGTTTTTAATACATCTAGAATTCTGCAATTGTTACAATTTTAGAGCATTCCATCATCCCCAAAAGAAACCTGTATCCTTTCAGACAAGATCAGGCACACTCAGGGTGGTATGGCTATAGACAGAAACCTGTATCCTTTCAGCAGTCACTCTCTGGGGATTTTTTTTTAAGTTCAGCGATGTGCAGGTTTGTTATATGAGTAAACTCGTGAATTTGTTGTACAGATTATTTTATCACCCAGGTGTCAAGTCCAGTACCCAATGCTTGTTTTTTCTGATCCTCTCCCTTCTCCCACCCAACATCCTCAAATGGGCACCCAACACCCTCAAATGGGCACCAGTGTCTATTGTTCCCTTCTTTGTGTCCATATGTCCTTATCATTTAGCTCCCAGTTGTGAGAACATGTGGTATTTGATTTTGTGATCCTGTGTTAGTTTGCTAAGGATTATGGCCTCCAGCTCCACCCATGTTCCTGCAAAGGACATGATCTCCTTCTTCACGGCTGTGTGTAGTATTCCATGGTGTATACATACTACATTTTCTTTATCCAGCCTATCATTGACAGGCATTTAGGTTGATTCCATGTTTTTGCTATTGTGAATAGCACTGCAATGAACATATGTGTGCATGTGTTTTTATGGTAAAACGATTTATATTCCTTTTGGTACATACTCAGCAATGGGATTGCTGGGTTGAATGGAAGTTGTGTTTTTAGCTCTTTGAAGAATCACTACACTATTTTCCACAATGGCTGAACTAATTTACATTCCCACCAACAGTGTGTAAGCGTTCCCTTTTCCCCCCCGCCACAATCTTACCAGCATCTATTATTTAACTTTTTAATTGTAGCCATCCTGACTGGTGTGAGGTAGTAACTTACTGTGGTTTTGATTTTCATTTGTTTTTTGTTTTGTTGTGTTGTGACACGAAGTCTTGCTCTGTCACCCAGACTTGAGTGCAGTGGCACAATCTCGGCTCACCGCAACCTCTGCCTCCCAGGTTCAAATGATTCTCATGCCTCAGCCTCCCGAGTAGCTGAAATTACTACGGGCGCCTGCCACCATGCCCAGCTAATTTTTGTAATTTTTAGTAGAGACAGGGCTTCACTATGTTTGGCCAGGCTGGTCTCAAACTCCTGACCTCAGGTGATCCGCCCACCTCGGCCTCCCAAAGTGCTGGGATTGTAGGCATGAGTCACTGTGCCCAGCTTGATTTTCTCTCTCCAATGATCAGTTATAAAGCTTTTTTCATATGCTTGTTGTCCACATGTATGTCTTCTTTTGAAAAGTGTCTATTCATGTCCTTTTCAGGACACTATCATTTCCCTCTAACCTCTCCCACCCCTAAGCAACCATGAATCTATTTTCTGTCTCTACAGATTTACCTATTCTGGATATTGCACATAAATTAGATCATACAATATTTAAAAATTTTTTCACTTAGCATGTTTTTAAGATTCATCATTGTTTTAGTTTGTATCAGAACTTTTTTTTTTTTTTTTTTAAGACAGGGTCTTAATCTGTCACCCAGGCTGGAGTGCAAGTGGCACTATCTTGGCTCACTGCAACCTCCACTTCCCAGGTTCAAGCCATCCTCCCACCTCACCCTTCTAATTAGCTGAAGCTACAGGCGTGTGCCACCACATCCAGCTAATTTTTGTATTTTTTGTAGAGATAGGGTTTTGCCATATTTCCCAGGCTGGTCTCGAACTCTGGCTCAATTGATCCGCCCGCCTCAGCCTCCCAAAGTGCTTGGATTACAAGCAGGAGCCACCACGCCCAGCCAGAACTTCAGTTATTTTTATTGCCAAATAACATTTTATTGAATGGATATATATATGGGTATACCCTGGAGACACTGCAGGTTCAGTTGCAGACCACCTCAAAGTGAATACTACAATAGAGTCACAACCTTTTTGGTTTCCCAGTGCACATGGAAGTTGTTTTTAGGCCAGGCATGGTGGCTCACGCCTGTATTCCTAGCACTTTGGGAGGCAGAGATGGGCGGATCACTTGAGCTCATGAGTTTGAGACCAGCCTAGGCTACATGGTGAAACCCCATCTCTACCAAAAATACAGGGACTGGTACGGCATGCCTGTAATCCCAGCTACCTAGGAGCTTGAGGTGGAAGGATGGCTTGAGCCTGGGAGGCAGAGGTTGCAGTGAGCCAAGATTACACTACTGCACTCCAGCCTGGATGACAGAGCCAGATATTGTCTCAAAAAAAAAAAAAAAAAGTTAATTTTTGTATTATAGTCTATTAAATGTGTAATAGCATTGATGTCTTTTTAAGAAGTACATATCATAATTTTAAAACACTTCATTGCTAAAGAATCCTAACAATTGGGCCGGGCGCGGTGGTTCACGCCTGTAATCCGAGCACTTTGGAAGGTGGCCAAAGTGCCGAGGTGGGCAGATTACAAGGTCAGGAGATCGAGACCATCCGGGCTAACATGGTGAAACCCTGTCTCTACTAAAAATACAAAAAAATTAGCCGGGCATGGTGGCACATGCCTGTGGTCCCAGCTACTCGGGAGGCTGAGGCAGGAGAATCACCTGAACCTGGGAGGCGGAGGTTGCAGTGAGCCAAGATTGCGCTGCTACACTCCATCCTGGACAACAGAGCGATACTCCGTCTCAAAAAAAGAAAAAAGAAACTTAATAATTATCAGAGACTTCAGTGAGTCATAATCTTATTGCTGGTGGAGGGGTCTTGCCTCAATGTGCATGGCTGCTGACATAAGGGTGGTGGTTGCTGAAGGCTGGGTTAACTGCGGCAATTTCTTAAGACAACCATGATGTTTGCCGCATAGTTCGATTCTTCCTTTCATGAAAGATTTCTCTGTATCATGTGATGCTGTTTGATAACATTTTACCTACCATAGGAGAACTTTCAAAATTGGAGTCAATCCTCTCAAACTCTGCCTCTGCTTTATCAACTAACTTTATGTGGAAATTCTAAATCCTTTGTTGTCTTCAACAAAAATGTTCACAGCATCTGCACCAGGAGTAGATTCTATCAATAAACCATTCATCTGTAAGAAGCAATTCATCCCAAGTTTTATCATGAGATTGCAGCAAATTCAGTCACATCTTCAGGCTCCACTTTTAATCCTACTTCTCTTGCTATTTCCACCACGTGTGTAGTTACTTCCTCCACTGAAGCAGTGAGAACCCCTCAAAGTCATCTATGAAGTTTGGAATCAACTTCTTCCAAATTCCTATTCATGTTAATATTTTTACCTCCTCCCATGCATCACAAATGTTCTTAACAGTATCTAGAATAATGAATCCTTTCCAGAAGGTTTTCCCAGATCCATCAAAGGAATAACTATCAATGGCAGCTCTAGCCTTATGAAATGTATTTCTTAAATAATAAGACTTGAAAGTAAAAATTACTCCTTGATCCATAGGCTGCAAAACTGATCTTGTGTCAGCAGGCATGAAATCATTAATCTCCTTGTACATCTCCATCAAAGCTCGAGTGACCAAGTGCATTGTTAATGAGCAGTAATATTATGAAAGGAATCCCTTCTTGTCTGTACAGTAAGTCTCAACAGTGGGCTTTAAACATTCAGTTAGCCATAGTGCAAACAGATGTGCTGTCATGACTTTATTGTTCCATTTATAGAGCACAGGCAGAGTAGATTTAGCATGTTTCTTAAGGGCCCTAGAATCTTCAGAATGGTCGGTAAGCACTGGCCTCAACTTTAAAGTTACCAGTTTCATTAGCCTGTAACAAGAGAATCAGCCTGTTCTTCAAAGCTTTGAAGCCAGAAACTGACTTTTCCTCTCTAGCTAGGAAAGTCCTAGATGGCATCTTCTTCCAAGAGAAGGCTGTTTTCATCTACATTGAGAATCTGTTGTTGAGTGTAGCCATCTTACCAATGATCTTAGCTAGATCTTCTGGGTAACTTGCTGCAGCTTCTCCATCAGCACTTGCTGCTTCATCTTGCACATTTATGTTACGGAGACAGCTTCTTCCCTTAAACCTCATGAACCAAAAAAAAAGAAAAGAAAAGAAAAGAAAAAGAAAAACCTCATGAACCAACCTCTGCTAGCTTCCAAATTTTCTTGTGCAGCTTCCTCACCTCTCTCAGCCTTCTCAGAAGAGTGTTAGGGCCTTCCTCTGGATTAAGTTTTGGCATAAGGGAATGTTGTGGCTGATCTGATCTTCTATCTCGACTACTCAAACTTTCCCATATCAGCAAAAAGCCTGTCTTGCTTTCTTATCATTCATGTGCTTACCTGAGTAGCCCTTTTAGTTTACTGCAGGAACTTGTGCCTTGCATTCACAGCTTGACTATTTGGAACAAGAGGCCTAACTTTCGGCCTACCACAGCTTTCGACATGTCTTCCTCACTAAGCTTCATCATTTCTAGTTTTTGATGTAAACTGAGACACATGTGACTCTTCCCTTCACTTGAACACTTAGAGGCCATTGTAGGGTTATTAATTTTCCTAATTTCAATTTTGTTGTGTGTCAGGAAAGAGGGAGGCCCAAGAAAGTGGGAGAGAGACAGGAGAACGGCCGACTGGTGGAGCAGTCACAGCATACACAAAGTTTATCAATTAAGTTCACCATCTTACATGGGAATGGTTTGTGGCATGCCAAAACAATTACAATAGCAGCAAAGCAACAGTAAAATAAGTTGGAAATATTGGAAGAATTACCAGAATGTGGCACAGAAACATGAAGTAAGCACATACTTTTTGAAAAATGGCACCAACAGACTTGTTCAACACAGGATTACCACAAACCTTCAATTTGTATAAAACGCTGTATCTGTGAGGTGTGATAAAATAAAGCACAATAATATGAGGTATGCCTGTACTACATTCTGTTCATCCATTCATCACCAGTTAATAGACATTTGGATTGTTTCCACATTTGGGATATTATGAACGACACTGTTACAAATGCCCACCTATAAGTTTTTGTATGAACATTCGTTTTCATTTCTCTTAAGGAGTGAATTTCTGGGTCACATGGTGATTAACCTTGAGTAACCGCCAAATTGTTTTCCAAAACAGCTGCAACATTTCACATTAGCAATGTATAAGAGTTTCACTTTTTCTACATCCTGATCAACAATTGTTACTGCCTTTTTGCTACAGGCATCCTACCAGGTGTAAAGAGGCTCCACTGTTCAAAGATTGGACCATCTAAACAAAAAAGGGTAACTGCAATGGATCAAGACACATCAAACACATTAAATCTATGAGTTCACAATGATACTAAAAAACAACTTACTGGTCAACTTTGGAGAATGCTAGACAATCAGCTCAATATTATGAAAGAAAGTAAAGTAAAATAAGCATTTAATTGTGCTTGATTATTTGAAGAAACGTTCTCTTCTGGTTTACCAAATAGTTCATGAAATTAAGTTTATTTTTTAAAAAGCATATCAACTAATAAACGAAAAACAGAGAATTAGAAAACTGCTATTTGGCAACCTCTAATGTATCTAGGTAGTGACCATCAATGCCTGATGATATCACTAGAAAAGAAGTACTCAGTATCACCTACTAAGTATTCTTGCTAAGAAAGTCAAACCTAAGTCTGCTCAAGTCTCTAGCTATAATCACCAATTAACAGAAACTAGAGGGGGCCGAGGGACATGTGAAGTACTGCCATGGGAATGCAGTCAGTAAAATCTGTACTGCAGATAATTCCATAGAACACATGACCTACTTTTCTCAAAAAATTTATAGCAGAGGGCAGATGAAGAAAGCAATCCTAGCCTAAAAGCAACTTGAGACATAATCACAATCCTAACAATCACAGAATCACAATGCTATTCCTAAAGGATTCAAAACACAATTAGGTCTAATTTTTACTAAAGCTCACGAAAAATAAAGCAGTTAAGACAAGCATGTGGTGAAACTTGAACTGATTTATTCTCTTGATGGCATAATATTCTGACCGAATTCACTTGCAAATAAACTTCTGACATGAGAAGATTTAACTTGCAAATGCAAGTATTAATAAGCTTTCCATCTGAGAAAAAAAAGCCCAATTTGGAAAACATATGTACTAAAAAGTTCATTAAAATGTTCATTACAGGACAGGCGCTGCAGCTCACACATGTAATCCCAGCACTTTGGGAGACTGAGGCAGGCAGATCACTTGAGGCCAGGAGTTGAAACTCCAACATGGCAAAACCCCGTCTCTACTAAAATACAAAAAATTAGCTGGGCATGGTGGCTCACACCTGTAATCCCAGCTACTCGGGAGGCTGAGGCATGAGAATCACTTGAACCCCGGAGGCAGAGGTTACAGTGAGCAGAGATTATGCCACTGCACTCCAACCTGGGCAACAGAGGGAGACTCTGTCTCAAAAAAAAAAAAAAAAAAAAAGTTCATTACAGTATTATTTATAGCAAGAAGATACCCAAGAAGCATGTAGTTTTGTTTACATGGCAAGAAGAGGATATGAACTGTTAAGTAGTTTTGATACATCCTCTTGACATATTTAAGTCATTAATATGGAAGACAATCTAGCAACAAGCAAAAATACTCATGACAGGCTTAAGATACCAGGATGAATACATGCTATAGCTTCCCCTTCATCCTCCAATGCTGAAATGCCAATTTTAAAGAATCTGTAACCATATTAGAAAACAAAAAAGGATATCCTTGGTGTGCCAAAATCACAAAGAATCCTAAAAACAAGAAATATAGGCTGGGCACGTTGGCTCACGCCTGTAATCCCAGTGCTTTTGGAGGCTGAGGCAGGTGGGATCGCTTGAGCCCAGGAGTTCAAGCTCAGACTGGGCAACACAGGGAGACCCTATCTCTACAAAAAAATGAAAAAGTTAAGAGGGTGTAGTGGCACATGCTTGTAGTCCCAGCTACTTGGGACACTAAAGTGGGAGGATCAATTGGGCCTGGAAGGTCGAGGCTGCAATGAGCAGTGATCAAAATGTAGCAGGATTTCTTAAGGAATCAGAGAGACTGATGGGGTTTAGGAGTATATTTATTAATTAGGTGCACCGGCCCAGTTGGATTTACATCCAAAGGACTGAGCCCTGAACAAAGAGTTAAGTTACCTTTTAAGCATTTCGTGGGGCAGGGGAGATCTGTGCAGGGGGAAGCATATTACAGAAGCGAGAAACAAAGACAGTTATTTAATTAATTGAGACATGCATTAAATCATTTCTTACTTTCCAAGGAAAAACATGTTTTACAGCTTGAGTTTATCTGTCTAGTGAACTTTCAGCTGCACAGATAGAGAAACAGGGTCTTCACAATGCTTGGGAAAGGAGGAGAGACAAGGCTCACTAGCCACAGAAAAACAGGCAGTTAATTTTTAAAGAACTCCAGCTCTTTCTCTTTTTCAGGGGGAATTGGGTTTTCTTACATACAACTGAGTTTCTGCTTAACATTTTTTAATTTCTTTTAATTCCTGTTCCAACACCACTCGACTCCAGCCTGCATGACAAGAATGAGACCCTGTCTCAAAAAACAAAAACCAGCAAGACAGATGGATTCAAAGTGGAAGGAGGAGATGTTGAAAGAAGACTTAACAAAATAGGAGAGCTGCTCCAGATATTACAAAGCTTGAGAGGTGTATAAAAGGAGTTACCTATAGGACTATTGACAATGACTGAGTTGGAGGAGCCCAGTAGAAGCAGACAGGCTGGTTCTACTACTTCACCTGTGAACCAGGAACCTGATGACATCCAGGTGGCATGATGAGACTACATATCCAGAAGTTTAGCTACTATTACATCTCTCCCTTGTAATTTCCCATCCTGAGAGCAGGCTAGCATAAACCTACACAGCATTTGCACACAAGATTTCTCAGGCATTTCAAAAACAAATGTCATTTAGGCTAGGTGCGGTGGCTCACGCCTGTAATCCTAGTACTTTGGGAGGCTGAGGTGGGTGGATCACCTGAGGTGGGTGGATCACCTGAGGTCAGGAATTCAAAACTAGCCTGGCCAACATGGTGAAACCTCATCTCTACTAAAAATACAAAAATTACCCGGGCATGGTGGCGCACACCTGTAATCCCAGCTACTAGGGAGGCTGAAGCAGGAGAATCGCTTGAACGTGGGACGCAGAGGTTGCAGTGAGCTGAGATTGCACCACTCCAGCCTGAGTGACAGAGCAAAACTCTGTCTCAAAAAAACAAAACAGGCTGGGCGCAGTGGTTCACGCCTATAATCTCAGTATTTTGGGAGGCGGAGGTGGGTGGATCGCCTGAGGTCAGGAGTTTGAGACCAGCCTGACCAACATGGTGAAACCCTGTCTCTACTAAAAACACAAAAATTAGCTGGGCGTGGTGGTGGGTGCCCGTAATCCCAACTACTTGGGAGGCTGAGGCAGGAGAATCTTTTGAACCCAGGAGGTGGAGGTTACAGTGACCCAAGATCATGCCACTGCACTCCAGTCTGGGTGACAGAGCGAGACTCCATCTGAAAAACAAAAACAAACAAAAAAACCAAAGGCCATTTAAAAATACAAATTACAACCAATATTGACCAAATATTTTCAGAAAACCAAGAGATTCAATGTGGCAGCAACCTTAACATAAAACCTATACCTTTCCCATAAATATATACACCTACTGTGTACCCATAAAAATTAAAAGTAAAAAAATTTTAACTCTTATATCTGAGGAAATGAAGGATAATAAAGCCAAGAGAACAAAGTTTTAAAATAAATAATAATTCCCCCAAAGATACCAGACGATCCATTGGAGACCTTGGAAGTTAAAATTTGATTAAATAAAGCTGACAAATGGTCTGATTGGTAGAATGTTCACAAATGAAAAACTTAATAATGAGGTGGAAAGAAAAAGCAGTTCTCTTAAAATATTATGCAGGAGAATAAAAACGTTGAAAAATACAAGAAGATTGGAAACACTCCTCACTACTACTCAACTGGACACGTTCCTAGGCTCTTCACTCATACCATCACACTAATCTTTACAGCAACCCTTCACGATAGGTACTAGTACTAGAGGATAATTAAAATACTGAAATATTGAAATACAACAGAATTTTAAACTATTTGAGTTCCACCTCCAATAAAGGCTGGCAAAGTTATTCAAACTAACCTTCTTCCTGAAAAAAAATGCTAACAATAAAGAGGGACATCATCTTAAAAGCATCTGAAATCTTACAGGATAGAACTACTAGTCCAAATTCTTTAAAACAAAAACAAACAACAACAAGCGGAAACCAGGAAACCCTCTCCCCACCTCAAAAAAGCAAAATACCAGAACACAAAAGTCATTTTTAGTCTATGATGGAATCTCTTTGCCCATCTCAGCAAAGATGGTTCTATGGCCCCAAGAAGCAAAGGAAAAGAAGTCAATGTTCAAAACATACCCAAGAAGGGAAATGAATAGGATAGTCTATCCACATTAAGCTGGGACCCCCCAGAGTACCTACAACCAGAATAAAACCAGGGCCCAAAATCTCCTGCTGTGATCTCTAAAATTTAAAACCTCAAAGATGGAGTTTAACAGCCAAATGAGGTACAATA
This sequence comes from Homo sapiens, assembly GCF_000001405.40. Lineage (NCBI taxonomy): Eukaryota > Metazoa > Chordata > Mammalia > Primates > Hominidae > Homo > Homo sapiens. The sequence continues at coordinate 388,962 of NT_187606.1, forward strand.
GGGGAAAAGCAGTGAACTAGAATATAGAACCAAAATGTATACAATACATAAGGGAGACACAAAAAAGTAGAAAATATCAAAGACACAAAAGATAGAATGAGAAAGTAGAATAAATATTTAATTACAGAGTCCCAAAAGAAGAGAAAGAAAAATGAGGCACAGGAAATATATGAGGAGATAATGGTTGTAAATTGAGTAATGAAAGATACCAGTCTATACATACAAGAAACCCAAGAACTCCCAAGGAAGAAAAAAGATAACCATATTTAAACTAAGAGTGAAACATCAGAAAGCAAAGGGATAATTAAAACAAACAAGGAACAAAAGAGAGAAAAAGGTTTCAAAGGAGAGTGACCGACTTTTGAAAACCATTGAAGCCTGAACATGTTCAGTATATGGAGAGTGAAATGATAAATGCCAATCAAGAATTGTGTAACCACCAAATACATCCTAAGAAATGAACGTGAGAAAGAGATTTTCAAGGAAGATAAAGATCATTCACTGCCAGCAGACTCACAATAAAAATATTCATCTTTAACATTAAATATGCTCCTTGAGCAGAAGGAAAGTGAACCCACATGGAAGAGAAATTCAGAGAAAAAAAAAACAATGAAAAGAGGACACATCTAAGTCTAAGTAAACAATGACTATATAAGATACTTTCTTCTGGGGTTCAAATATACACACAATTGAAATGTATAGCAGCAACAGCACAAAAGAAGTGGGGACAGGATAACAAGTTCTGTAAGGTCCTTGCATTTTCTAGGACGTGATGAAAGCACTAATTTCTTAGACGCTAGTAAGTCAATGATAACATGTTGTAATCCCTAGGTGTAGCCACAAAAAGATCAGTAAATATATGTTTGCCCAAGAGGCCATGGAAGAAAGAAAAAGGAATAGAACGTGAAGAACAAAGAAGACTCAGTAAAGATGATAGGTTTAAGCATAACAAAACGACATGGGTTTGGACAGGGGGAGGTTGGGTGGGTTCTTCATCCTCTCTCATCATAAACTACTTTTTTAAAGAACCCAGAACTTGTCTTTTTTTTTTTTTTTTTTTTTTTGGAGACAAAGTTTTGCTCTATTGCCCAGGCTAGAGTGCAGTGGCGCAACCTCCGCTCACTGCAACCTCCACCTCCCGAGTTCAAGCAATTCTCCACCCTCAGCCTCCCGAGTAGCTGGGATTACAGGTGCGTGCCACCACACCGAGCTAATTTTTGTATTTTTTAGTAGAGACAGGGTTTCGTCACGTTGGTCAGGCTGGTCTCGAACTCCTGGCCTCAGGTGATCCGCCCCCACCTCGACCTCCCAAAGTGCTGGGTTTACAGGCATGAGTCACCGTGCTTGGGGGTACAACTTGTCACTTCTAATGTGGTTTTCTTAAAAAAAAAAAGATTTTTACACTGGGCACGGTGGCTCACGCCTGTAATCCCAGCACTTTGGGAGGCCAAGGCGGGTGGATCACCTGAGGTCAGGAGTCCAAGACCAGCCAGGCCAACATGACTAAACCCCGTTTCTACTAAAAATACAAAAATTAGCCAGGCATGGTGGCAGGCGCCTGTAATCCCAGCTACTCAGGAGTCTGAGACAGGACAATCGCTTGAAACCAGGAGGCGGAGGTTGCAGTGACCTGAGATCACGCCACTGCACTCCAGCCTGGGCAACAGAGTGACACCCTGTCCCCTCCACCCAACAAAAAAATTTTTTTTCTATTTCAGAACTATAAATAAAGATTTGCAGAATGGATTAAAAACCAATATCCCAACTATATGCTGCTTTCCAGGGTCATGTCTTACAATATAAGGTCACTGATTGACAGGTTGAAAAACATGAGAAAAGATATGCCATTCAAGCACCAAAAATGCTGTTGTAACCAAATAGGTATCAAAGTAAACTTTAAGGCAAAAACATGAGAAAGAAATGCATTTCATAAGTATCGAGAGATCAATCTACAAAGAAGATATAATTCTAAAACTTAATAAAAGCATACAAAAATCAATAAAGCCAAACAACAACCCTAAAAGGAGAGATAATTGAGATAACGAAAGCTAGAGATTTTAACACATTTCTCTTAGTAATTGATAGAATAAGCATATATTCCCCCTGCAAAAAAGAATATAGAAAATCTGAAACATCAAATTAGTAAATTTGACCTAACAGACATAAACAGAACACTGCATCCAACATCTGCTCAGTACACTGTCTTTATAAGTATATCTAGAACATTTAACAAAGTAGAGCATATGTTAGACTATAAAGCAAGCCTCAACAAATTTGAAGACTAAAATTATGTTAGAGGATGTTCTATGACCATAGTGGAATTAAGATAAAAATTCATAACAAAAAGACAACTAGAAAGTCCCAAATACCTGAAAGCTGTACTACAGACTTCCTCAGGGACCAACAAGACATCCAATGGAAATTAGAAAATAGTCAACTAAATGATAATTAAAAAGACTTCACAACTCATAAAATGCACTTAAATCCATGCTGAGCGGGAAATTTATAGTCTTTGGTAATGTATTAAAAAGATTAAAAACCATGGGCCAAGAATGGTGACTCATGCCTGTTATACAAGTGCTTTGGGAGGCTCAGATGGGAGGATCACTTGAGCCCAGGAGTTTGAGGTTACAGTAAGGTATGATTGTGCCACTACCTTAGTGACAGGGCAAGATCCTGCATCCAGAAATATATGTATATAAAATCGGCCGGGCGCGGTGGCTCACACCTCTAATCCCAGCACTTTGGGAGGCCGAGGCGAATGGATCACTTGAGGTCAGGAGTTTGAGACCAGCCTGGCCAACATGGTGAAAACCCGTCTCTACTAAAAACACAAAAATTAGCTGGGCATGGTGGCAAGTGCCTGTAATCCCAGCTACTCAGGAGGCTGAGACAGAAGAATCGCTTGAACCCGGGAGGCGGAGGTTACAGTGAGCCGAGATCATGCATGGCACTCCAGCCTGGGCGACAGAGCAACCCTTCATCTCAAAAACTAAATAAATAAAAATAAATAAAATAAAATCAATGATCAGGGTAATATTAGTGAAATGGCGAATAAGGACCTCTGACAATTCTTCCTACATAAAAACCAATGAGAACACTAGCAAAAAATTGTCACAATAAACTTTGTCAGAACTCTGGAAATTAAACCAAAAGCTTGCAGAAATCTGGGGAGTATTTGTTTAAAAAATAAAAACAAGATAGCTGAATCTTGGTAAGAACAACATTCTTTGTGGCCTTTTAATTTGTATTATTTTCATACCTTCCTCTCTAGCTCTACTACAACCCTGAAAACCAGCAACCTGCATCACAGCAAAAATTAGCAGCCTGGAAGCCACTGAAAGGACAAAACAGTTGGAGCTCAAGCCCCATCCTCAATGAATTGTCATTACTTGACCTTTTACATGGTTACACACAAGGTCCCACTTATGTGGTTGTATTTGACCTACCTCCGAGCTCACCAAGTACAGCCAGCCATTTCCCATTTCCCAGGGAAAGTTTATTTAAAAAAAAAAAATCAGAGGCAATTATTAAATATCCCAGGTGCCTGAGGCATTAGGCAACAGTTTAGGAACTCAACAGGCTAACCAAAAAAGCTTAAAAGGCTGGGGAATGAAATATGAGGCTTTATAAAAAACTCAATATATTCCTGGGAATCTAGGCTAACCTGCATGCTTGAAAGAAAGCATTAGAAGGCCCTAAGCTCTCTCTCCTGGTTAACCTTGAGGCTCTGTACAAACAGCAAGTGAAGAATACAAGAATACTGCAGAGTTGTAAACTGTCTGGCTCAGTGTGGAGGGCATACTGGGCCCCTTGTCAAAGACTGGGAAACTTACTGGTTCTAAGCATGTAAGGCAGTTTCTGTCCATCATTAGCCGACTACTAAGATAACCAAGCAGAGACTTCAGTGGCCACATATTTAAAAAATGCGAAGTTTACAGAACTAGCTGAGAAGAGCCACTAAATGAACAACAACAAACAAGAACCCTTCAGCCTGTGGAGGACGGATAACCCGATTTCCAGACTTGCTACATTATTTCCAATGTCCAATTTTCAAGACAAAATTTATAAGACATTCAAAGAAACAAGTATGGCCCATTCATGGGGGAAAAAATCACTAAAAATGGTCCCTGACAAAGGGCAGACATTACATGTATTAGACAAAGACTCTAGCTATTTTCAATATGTATGAAGAGCTAAAGGATAGCATATCTGGCTGTGGACAATGGCTCTGTAATCCCAGCACTTTGAGAGGCCCAGAACGAAGGATCACTTGAGGCCAGGAGTTCAAGCCAAGCCTGGGCAACATAGCAAGGCTCCATTGCTACAAAAAACAAAACAACGGGCCAGGTGCAGTGGCTCACACCTGTAATCCCAGCACTTTGGGAGGCCGAGGCAGGCGGATCACAAGGTCAGGAGATTGAGAGCATCCTGGCTAACAGGGTGAAACCCTGTCTCTACTAAAATACAAAAAATTAGCTGGGCATGGTAGTGGGCACCTGTAGTCCCAGCTACTCAGGAGGCTGATGCAGGAGAATGGTGAGAACCCAGGAGGCGGAGCTTGCAGTGAGCCGAGATTGATCGCGCCACTACACTCCAGCCTGGGTGACAGAGCAAGACTCCATCTCAAAAAAAAAAAAAAAGACAGAAACAAGAAACCATATCCAAGGAACTAAAGTATGAGAATAATGTCTCACCAAATAGAGAATATTACTAAAGAGACAGAAATTACATATAAAAAAGAACCAATTAGAAATTCTAGAGCTGAAAGGTATAATAACTGCAATGAAAAATTCACTACAGGGGCTCAACAGCAGATTTAAAAAGAAAAACAATCAGCAAGGCTGAAGATACAGACATGGAGATTATCCAGTCTGAGGACAAGAAACTACAGAGCCACAGAGACATCTGGGATACAGTCAAGTATACCAAGATACACATATTAGAAGTCCCAAAGCAGATGAGGGAAAGAGACAGAATATGTGAAGAAATAATGGCAGAAAACGTTGATGAAAAACATTAATCTACATATTCAAAAAATCCAATGAACTGCAAGTAGGATAAGCTCAAAGAGACCTACACCAAGACACATTAAATGGTCAAAAGCCGGAGACATAGAAAGGGCAAAACTGCAAGAGAGAAGCAATCATCATATATGACATACAAGGGATTTTCAATAACATTAATAGCTGATTTCTTACCAGAAATTGTGGAGCCAGAAGGCAGTAGGATGACATACTGAGGGAGTTAAAAGAAGAAACTCAACCAAGAATTTTTTATCACCAACACGATCCTTCAAGAATGGAGAAATTAAGACATTCCTAGACAAAAAGGGAGTTTGTCACTAGCAGACCTCCCCTACAACAAATACTAAAGAGCATCTTTCCCAGTGAAGTGAAAGAATGCTAGACAGTTACTTTAATCCACATGAAGTAATAAAGAAGACCAAAAAAGATAACTACATAGGTAAATATAATAGAGAGTATATTTTTGTCTTTTTTTTCTCCTATCAGATTTAAAAGATAACCAAATGGGGGCGGGATAAGAAGGTATTGGTAAAAGGGTACAAAGTTTTGACCAGGATAAAAAAGTTCTGAAGAGCCATTGTATAGAATGACGGTAACTATAGTTGTATAGTTGTATACAACTATACAATGTATTCTATAGTTGTACTTGCTGAGATTTTAGATGTTCTCACCACAAAAATATAAGTATGTGAGGTAATGAATATATTAGCTTTAATCATTTCACAGCGTATACATATATCAGAACATCACACTGTACACCATAAAGTTCTCATTTGTCAATTATATCTTAAAGCTAGGAAGAAGACAAAAGATAGCTAAAGTTAATTATAAATCTGTATTGATAGGCACACCATGTATAAACACCTATTTGTGGCCGGGCACAGTGGCTCATGCCTGTAATCCTAGCACTTTGGGAGGCTGAGGTGGGCGGATCACCTGAGGTCGGGAGTTCGAGACCAGCCTGACCAACATGAAGAATCCCTGTCTCTACTAAAAATACAAAATTAGCCAGGTGTGATGCCGCATGTCTGTAATCCCCGTTACCCGGGAGGCTGGGAGAGGAGAATCGCTTGAACCCAGGAGGCAGAGGTTGTGGTGAGGCGAGATCGCGCCATTGTACTCCAGCCTGGGCAACAACAGCAAAACTCCACCTCAAAAAAAAAGACATATTTGTAATACATTAACAGCACAAGAGGAGGAGAAAATAAAGCGATACTGGTGCAAAGTTTCTGTATACTACTGAAAATAAAATTGGTTATTATTTGACCTAGATTGTTAATATAAATTAAGATGCTAGTTCCAGCTGGGCATGGTGGCTCACGCCTGTAATCCCAGCACTTTGGGAGGCCGAGGCAGGCGGATCACTTGAGTTCAGGGGTTTGAGACCAGCCTGGCCAACATGGCGAAACCTTGTCTCTAACTAAAAATACCAAAAAAATTAGCCGGGCATGGTGATGGGTACCTGGTATCCCAGCTACTCAGGAGGCTGAGGGAGAACTGCTTGAACCCAGGAGCTGAGGGGTTACAGTGACCCGAGATGGCACCACTGCACTCCAACCTGGGTGACACAGGGATACTCCGTCTCAAAAAAAAAAAAAAAAAGCTAGTTCTCAGCACATGCGCTAAGAAAATAACTTAAAAATACATAGTAAGGCCGGGCGCGGTGGCTCACGCCTGTAATCCCAGCACTTTGGGAGGCCGAGGCGGGCGGATCACGAGGTCAGGAGATCGAGACCATCCCGGCTAAAATGGTGAAACCCCGTCTCTACTAAAAATACAAAAAATTAGCCGGGCGTAGTGGCGGGCGCCTGTAGTCCCAGCTACTTGGGAGGCTGAGGCAGGAGAATGGCGTGAACCCGGGAGGCGGAGCTTGCAGTGAGCCGAGATCCCGCCACTGCACTCCAGCCTGGGCGACAGAGCGAGACTCCGTCTCAAAAAAAAAAAAAAAAAAAATACATAGTAAAAGAGGCCAGGCATAGTAGCTCATGCCTGCAATCCCAGCACTTTGGGAAGCCAAGGTGGGAAGATCACTTAAGGCCAGGAGTTTGACACCAGCCTGGGTGACAGAGCAAGACTTTGTCTCTTTAAAAAAAACAAGAAACATATATATAAGAATGACAAGGAAATTAAAGAGACAAGGAAATTAAAGAAACAAGGAAATTAAAATGTCATAGGATTTTATACTAGAAAATATCTTAACACAAAAGAAAGCAGTAATGGAAGAATAGGGGGAAAAGACACAAGACATATGGAAAACAAACAGAAAAATGGCAGGTGTATATCTTATCAGTAATTATATTAAATGTAGATGGATCAAACTCTTGAATAAATGACAGACTGACAGAATGGACTTTTTAAAAGCATGATCCAAATATATACTGCACAACAGGAGATACACTTTAAGACTCAAAGACACAAATAGGGCTGGGCACGGTGGCTCACGCCTGTAATCCCAGCATTTTGGGAGGCTGAGGCAGGTGGATCACCTGAGGTCAGGAGTTCGAGACCAGCCTGGCCAACATGGTGAAACCCCGTCTCTACTAAAAATACAAAAATTACCCAGGTGTGGTGGTGTGTGCCTGTAGTCTCAGCTACTCGGGAGGCTGAGACAGGAGAATTGCTTGAACTGGGAAGCAGAAGTTGCAGTGAGCCAAGATCACACCACTGCACTCCAGCCTGGATGACAGAGCGAGACTCAAGTCTCAAGGAAAAAAACAAAGACACAAAAGACACAAATAGGTTGAAAGGATGGAAAAAAGTATACCCTGCAAATAATAACCAAATGAGAGGTAGAATAACTGTGCCTATTACCAGACAAAACAGACATTAAGACAAAAATTGTTACTAGAGATAAAGGAGGACATTTTATAATAAAAGGGTTAATCTATCAAAAAAAATTTAACAATTATAAACACCAATGAACCTAACACAGACCACCAAAATATATGCAACAAAAACTGACAGAAATGATAGGAGAAACAGATACTTCAACAGTAACACTATTGCTGGAAACATCAATAGCTCACTTTCAGCAATGATGGACAGAAACTGCCTTACATGCTTAGAACCAGTAAGTTTCCCAGTCTTTGACAAGGGGCCCAGTATGCCCTCCACACTGAGCCAGACAGTTTACAACTCTGCAGTATTCTTCACTTCTTGTTTGTACAGAGCCTCAAGGTTAACCAGGAGAGAGAGCTTAGGGCCTTCTAATCTAATGCTTTCTTTCAAGCATGCAGGTTAGCCTAGATTCCCAGGAATATATTGAGTTTTTTATAAAGCCTCATATTTCATTCCCCAGCCTTTTAAGCTTTTTTGGTTAGCCTGTTGAGTTCCTAAACTGTTGCCTAATGCCTCAGGCACCTGGGATATTTAATAATTGCCTCTGATTTTTTTTTTTAAACAAACTTTCCCTGGGAAATGGGAAATGGCTGGCTGTACTTGGTGAGCTCGGAGGTAGGTCAAATACAACCACATAAGTGGGGCCTTGTGTGTAACCATGTAAAAGGTCAAGTAATGACAATTCGTTGAGGATGGGGCTTGAGCTCCAACTGTTTTGTCCTTTCAGTGGCTTCCAGGCTGCTAATTTTTGCTGTGATGCAGGTTGCTGGTTTTCAGGGTTGTAGTAGAGCTAGGGAGGAAGGTATGAAAATAATACAAATTAAAAGGCCACAAAGAATGTTGTTCTTACCAAGATTCAGCTATCTTGTTTTTAGTTTTTAAACAAATACTCCCCAGATTTCTGCAAGCTTTTGGTTTAATTTCCAGAGTTCTGACAAAGTTTATTGTGACAATTTTTTGCTAGTGTTCTCATTGGTTTTTATGTAGGAAGAATTTCAGAGGTCCTTATTCTGCCATTTCACTAATATTACCCTGATCATTGATTTTATTTTCATTTATTTATTTAATGTATAGAACAAGATGACAGTATCAGGAAGGAAACTGTATACTTGAACACTATAAAACAACTAGAACAGACACAAGATATTTCAATCTACAAAAGAAGAATACACAATCTTAAGTGTATATGAAATATTCTCCAGGACAGACCATATGTTAGTTAGGCCATGAAGTCTCAATAAATGTGAAATGGCTGAAATCATACAAAGTACATTCTGCAACCACAAAAGAACAGAATTAGAAGTCAGTAACAGAAGGAAAACTGGAAAATTCTCAAAACGTGGAAATTAAACAACATACTCTTCATCAATGGATCGAAGAAGAAATCACAGGGCAATGAGAAAATACTTTGAGATAAAGAAACACACCATACTAAAACTTACGGCATGCAATGAAAATAATACTTGGAAAGTTGTAAAATCCTATGTTAAAGATTATGCTGAATGTCGTAGCTCACACCTGTAATCCCAGAACTTTAGGAGGCTGAGGTAGGAGGATCACTTGAGCCCAGGAGTTTGAGACAGCCCAGGCAACATAGTGAGAGACCCTGCCTCTACAAAAAAAATATAAATTAGCTAGGCATGGTGGTGCACAACTGTAGTCCCAGCTGCTCAAGAGGCTGAGGTGGGAGGATTGTTTGAGCCTGGGAGGTCGCGGCTGCAGTGAGCTGTGATCACGCCACTGCACTCCAGCCTGGGCAACAGAGCGAGAGCCTGTCTCAGAAAAAAAAAAATAATAACAATAGTAATTAAATATCAATAACCTAACATTCTACCTAAAGAAACTAGAAAAAATAAACACAAAGCAAGTAGAGGAAGCAACAAAGATTAAAGTCGAAATAATGTCTAGAAAAACTATAAAAAAAAAAAACAGAAGTTGGTTCTTTGAAAAACATCTGCAAAACTGATAAACCTTGAGCTAGATTAACCAAGAAGAAATGAAAGTGGGTACAATACTACCAACCTTACAGAAAGTAAAAAAGAATATAAATTACTATGGGCTGGCTGCAATGGCTCATGCCTGTAATCCCAGCACTTTGGGAGGCTGAAGTGGGTGGATCACCTGAGGTTGGGAGTTTGAGATCAGCCCAATCAACATAGAAAAACTCCGTCTCTACTAAAAATACAAAATTAGCCAGGCATGGTGGCGCATGCCTGTAATATCAGCTACTTGGGAGGCTGAGGCGGGAGAATCGCTTGAACCTGGGAGGTGGAGGTTGCGGTGAGCCGAGATCACCCCACTGCACTCCAGCCTAGGCAACAAGAGCAAACCTCCGTGGCAAAAAAAAAAAAAAAAAATTACTATGAATAATTATATGCCTGCAAATTAGAAAACATAGGTGAAATAAATTCTACAGCCAGAAATTACCAAAACTAACTCAAAGAAACAGACAATCTGCATACGCTTTTAATGAACAAAAAGCCTGTATTAGTCATCAACAAACTTCCCAGAGAATAGTCCAAGACAAGAAAGCTTCGCTGGTGAATTCTACCAAAAACCTAAAAAAGAATAAATACCAATTATTCACATGTACTTTTCCAAAAAGCAGACGAGGAGGGAACACTTTACAACTCAGTCATGAAGCAAGTATTTCCCTGATACCAAAATCAGGCAGAGACCACAAGAAAACAAAATCATAGACCTATCTGTTTATTAATCTAAATGCAGTGGCATCTAAGATGGATTACACACTATGACCAAATGGGGTTTATCCTAAGAAGACAAGGTTGGTTCATTATAAGAAAAAAAATCAATAAAATATAATATTAATAGAACAAAAGTAAAAAAAAATCACATGATCATCTCAATGGACACAGACAAGTATTTGATGAAAATCCAATACCCTTTCATGATAAAAATATTCAATAAACTAGGAATAGAAAAAAACATCCTCAGGCCGGGCCCGGTCACTCACGCCTGTAATCCCAGCACTTTGGGAGGCCAAGGCCGGTGGATCACCTGAGGTCAGGAGTTGGAGTCCAGGCTGACCAACATCATGAAATCCCATCTCTACTAAAAATACAAAAATTAGCCTGGCATGGTGGCGCACACCTGTAATCCCAGCTACTCTGGAGGCTGAGGCAGGAGAATTGCTTGAACCCGGGAGGCAGAGGTTGTAGTGAGCCAAGATCACGCCACTGCACTTCAGCCTTGGGGACAGAGTGAGACTCCAGTCTCAAAAAAAAAAAAAAAAAAAAAAAAAAAAAAAGAAAAAAAGAAAAAAAAATCCTCAACTTGATAAAGGGCTCCTACAAAAACACCCACATCTAACATCATATTTAATGGTGAATGAAGTCTGCTCTCTTCACTTCTATTCAAAACTGTACTGAAGATTTTAGCCAGCACAATTAGGAAGGAAAATGAAACAAAAGGCATCTAGATGGAAAAAAAAGTAAAACTATCTTTATAGATGATACACCCAGAAGGCATGATCTTAGATGTAAAAAATCCTAAGAAATCACACACACAAAAATCCATGTACAAAAACCAGCTCTATTTCTATACACTAGCAATGAACAATCTGAAAATAAAATTAACAGTTTGACTTACAATAGCATGAAAAATAAATATACTTATGAATAAATTGCAAGACTTGGACACTGAAAACTGTAAGAAATCACTGAAATAAATTAAAACAAAAAAAATCCCCAATTCATGCATTAGAAGACTTAATATTGTTAAGATGGCAATAGTAGGCCAGGCACAGTGGCTCATGCTTATAATCTCAACGCTTTGGGAGGCTGAGGCAGGAGGACCCTTTGAGACCAGGAGTTCAAGACCAGCCTGGCCAACATAGCAAGACCCCATCTCTACAAAAAAATAAAAATAAAAATTAGCCAGCAGCCACGGTGGCACACACCTGCAGTCCCTGATACTCAAGAGGCTGAGGCAGGAAGATCACTTGAGCCCAAGAAATCACGTCTCAAAAAAAAGAAAACCCCAAAAAACAAAAACACGATGATCTAATAATTTTCATCTCAATAAGTTTAAAAAAAACACACAGTAAATCAAACCCAAAGAAAACAATAGGAAAAAAAATAAATGACACATAAAAGAAATGTATAACAGAATCGGGGGAGGGAGGGATCAAAGCCAAAAGTTTATTTTAAAAAAAAGATTAGTAACACAGACAAAAAAAAGCAAACGTAATGTTAAGAAATACTGGAAATTTTGTAATCCCAGCACTTTGGGAAGCCGAGGTGGGCAGATCATGAGGTCAGGAGATCGAGACCATCCTGGCTAACACGGTGAAACCCTGTCTCCACTAAAAAAAAATACAAAAAAATAAGATAAAATAAAAACTGGAAATTCTAAAACATCAGAAGAAGCTTTTACATAAACATTTATGCCAATGAATTTGAAAATTTAAATGAAACAGAGAAATTCCTAGAAAAACACAACTTAGCAAAACTTAGAAGACGGAATAGAAATTTGAGCCAGGTGCGGTGGCTCATGCCTATAATCCCAGCACTTTGGAAAGCTGAGGCGGGTGGATTGCCTGAGGTCAGGAGTTCGAGACCAGCCTGCCTAACATGGTGAAACCCCATCTCTACTAAAAATACAAAAATTAGCCAGCCATGGTGGAGCACCCCTGTAGTCCCAGCTACTTGGGAGGCTGAGGCAGGAGAATCGCTTGAGCCCGGGAGGCAGAGGTTGTAGTGAGCTGAGATCACACTATTGCATTCCAGCCTGGGTAACAGAGCGAGAGTCTGTCCAAAAAAAAAAAAACAAAAAAAAAAACACAGAAATTTGAATAATTGTATTTTAAAAACTGGGTCAGGCAAGGTGGCTCACACCTGTAATCCCAGCACTTTGGGAGTCCAAGGCGGGTGGGTCATGAGGTCAGAAGTTCAAGATCAGCCTGGCCAAGATGGTGAAACCCCATCTCTATTAAAAATACAAAAATTAGCTGGGCAGGTGGCAGGCGCCTGTAATCCCAGCTACTCAGGAGGCTGAGGCAGGAGAATCGCTTGAACCTGGGGGGCGGAGGTTGCAGTAAGCCAAGACTGCACCACTGCACTCCAGCCTGGGCAACATAGTGAGACTCTGTCTCAAAAAAAAGAACAAACAAACAAACAAACAAACAAAACAAACAAACAAAAAACTGAATCCACATTTTAAAAACTGTTCCTCAAAAAAACAAAAACAAACAAAAACACACTCCAGGCCCAAGTGGCTTCAGCAATGAATTATATCAAAATTTAAGGAAGACTATTATAAATTTCACACAAGCTCTTCTCAAGAACAGCGAGGAAAAAAAAAAACTTTTCAAGAAGCTAATGATTTGCTTCAAGAAGCTAACGACTCTGACACCAGGGATATTTTAAGGAAAGAAAATTACAAGCTTATCTCTTATGTGCATGAATACAAAAATCCTGAAGACAACATTTACAAATGAAATCCAAACAATATACTAAATAAAATATATTATGAACAACTTGAGTTAATTCCAGGAATGCGAAGTTGGCTTTACTTTGGTATTCTTTCCTGAATGTTATTCCTACATCTATAGAATAAAGGAGAAAGGTTAAATGAATAGATGCAGAAAAGCTGATATAATTTAATAACATTCATGATTTTATGTTTGTTTTCTTGGGGGTTTTTTTGTTTTGTTTTGTTTTTTTGGAGACAGTGTCTGGCTGTGTCACCCAGGCTGGAGTGCAGCGGCACGATCTTGGCTCACTGCAATCTCCACCTCCTGAGCTCAAGCGATCCTCCCACCTCAGCCCCAAGTAACTGGGACTACAGGTACGTGCCACCACACCCGGCTTTTCATACTTTTGTACAGATGGGGTTTCACTACATTGCCCAGGCTGGTCTCTAACCACCTCAACCTCCCCAAGTGCTGGGATTATAGACATGAGCCACTGCATCCTGCAGATTTTCTTTTTTTAAAAGCCTCTTGGCAAAGTCTGAAAAGAACTTTCTTAATCAGATAAAAAACATTCACAACTTCAGCATATTTAAAGGAGAAATGCTAAGAAGTTCACTCACAACCCCTCCCCTAAGACTGGAAACAAGCTCCCCCCGGGGAGAGAGACACTCACCCTGGATGGGAGCCTGGAACTCTACCACCCCGCCCCGCTCCCCCCTCAATGCCCCCCTGGGACAGCCCGGGAGGCTGCCAGGAAGGGACTGGCCTCCTTGGGAGGCTCCCAGGATCCTCTTCAGCCTCGCTGCTTCTGAGTCCCTGCCGGCAAGCCTCCGCCAAGCAGTGGCCTTGCTGATGCCTGGGGAAGCCCACCGGGAGAGAGACACACACCCTGGGTGGGACCCTGGGGCTCTAAGACTCCCTACCCTGGGACGGCCCCAGGGGCTGCTGGAAAGGGACTGGCCTCCTCGGGAGGCTCCCAGCGTCCTCTTCGTCACTCCTAACCACATAAAAATATGGGTCTTGCTCCCAGGCTGGAGTGCAGCAGCATTATCACAGCTCACTGAAGCCTCGAACTCCTGGGCTCAAGTGACCCTCTCACCTTAACCTCCCAAAGTGCTGGGATTACAGGCACGAGCCACTGCACCCAGCTGTAATATTCTATTTCTTGACCTGGGTAGTGGTTATGTGGGTGTCTGCTGTATAACTGATTAAAATATACAGGTGTTTTATGCAAGTTTCCATATATTCTATGTTTAACAATTTGGAAAAGTCCATCAAACTAGTCCAAGAATTAAACAAAACACAATGATAATCTAAGTAATCACTAAAAATTACTGAAGTCTAAATAAATACTGATTGTGAACACATACATACACACAAAACTGCAAGTAAATTCCTAGATATTATCAGTACCAAATGTGGGGGGGAGTACAATTTGAACACAAAATGAGGGCCTTTTTCAGCTTAGGCACCCAGTTTGAGAGAATGTATTCATTAAGCAATTGTATAATGTTACCTAACATGCACCAGGCCCAATACTGAGGATTAGAAATCCAAGGATTTCAAAAGATCTTTAAAAAAAAGAAAGAAAGAAACGAAACGAAACCCAAGGATATTTAAGACCTAGTCCTTACACATTCTTCAAGAGACTTACAGTATAAACAGAAAACCTAGTTCAACTCTTTAAAATATAAGTGTGTGTGTGTGTGTGTGTGTGTGTGTGTGTATATATATATATGACCTCAGCCAACGCTCTCACAACTGCATCTTTATATACCCACACTATCACAATCACTATCACCATTTAGTAAGTGCAGTTATGTGCATCATTGTAGATAGTATTCAATACAAATCTTATTTAAGCTTCACAAAACCCCTACAAATGGGTACTATTTCTACCTATGTGTCTAAAGAGGAAATTTAAACTCAGAGTGTAAGCCAAGGTCACAGCAAGTAAGTAGCACGACCAGAATTTGTTCTCAGGTCATCTGCATTCAGAGCCTGTACCCTATCTTTGTTTGGGTTTATTATGAAACGGACAATGTTTTTTCAAAACTGTACCCTATCCTCCCATTTTAAGAATGTATATGTTTACACCACCACATGATGGATCCACAAATAAACACGAAGAGCCAAGAAGGACCTTGCTTCATCTCACAGATTGACAGACTACAGAACATTGGAGGCAGGACAGTGTTATAAAGTTTCTGAAGTGACAACCAAGCCAACTTTGAATAAAATAATTTTTTCTAGGAAGACAGTCAATTTAGTTGTCAACTATGTAGCAGAAGAGCATTCATTGCACAACTTCATCTGTCAGTGATTTTAATTATATAATATGCATGGAATGTCAAGAAACAGCAGACAGAATGGCATAAAGGGAAAGAACCCTGGGACACAATTCTAGAAACTTACTCTGGGTTGATGCCAGATCATATATGCTACACGTATTATTTTAACTTCAGAAAATATTTTATAATATAAAGAAAACAAAATCAAGTTGGATTTACAGCTATATCAACTGGAATTTTGAAGTATGACAACATCTAGAGTCTACATGGAATGTGACTGAAAACTCATGAAATCCTAGCAGGATTATAAACTGGTAAATGCACTTTGAAAAAGTACCCAGCAACTTGAAGTGTGAAGACAATATACCAAACTCTGCAATTAACTTCTAGGTACATACTCAAGGAAGCTCTTGTGATGTGGGCACAGGAGACTTAAACAAGGATGTTCACCAAAATACTGTTTATAATAGCAAAAAATATATATTTACCTAAATACAGCAAAAAATATACACCTAAACATTTACCAAGAGGAATATTGTATATATTTATGTAAAATATTACTACAAAGCAATTAAAATGTATTGATTTTACTTACAAATAACTATCAATATGTACACATTATAAATATGACACATGGAGAAAAGCAAATGCCAGGAAGATAATGTCATATTCTTTGCATAAAGATTTAAAACATATGACAATCAGGAGGCGGCATGAGGGGTCTTCTTAGTTGCTTATATCATTCTATTTCTTGATTTGAGCTTGAGAGCATGAGTGTATTTGTTTTGTGACAATTTACCCAGTTATATACTTTAAACTGTGCATTTTCCTCAGTGTATGTTTTATTTACATAAAAATGTAAAACGATGTTTATGGACATACACAGAGAAGTATAAAAACACGGATGGGAAGGAAATATACCAACTTCAGGAGAGTTATCTCTAGGAAAATGAGGAAAAGAGTACACTTAAGTGCAAAACTTTTATTTGATGTTTATATTGTCTGAATAAAGGTCTGAATCAAACATATCAAAATCTTAACATTTGTTAAAGATCGGTGGTAAATACATTATTTTACATTCCTCTTTTTAAATTTTTTTTTTTTTTTTTTTGAGACGGAGTTTCGTTCTTGTCATCGCCCAGACTGGAGTGCAGTGGCATGATCTCAGCTCACTGCAGCCTCCACCTCCCGGGTTCAAGTGATTATCCTGCCTCAGCCTCCCAAGTAGCTGGGATTACAGGTGCATGGCACCACGCCTGGCTAATTTTTGTATTTTTAGTAGAGACAGGGTTTCACCATGTTGGCCAGGCTGGTTAAAATTTTTAAAAGCAAAAAACCCTATAAAAGCAAATATATGCATTTAAATCCTACCATTCAGAGATAACTATGTTTACAAAGGTTAACAGCTTTGAGACATAACTGACATATAAACTGCATGTATTCAAAGTGTAGAATTTGATATGTTTCAACCTATGTATACATACCCACGAAACCATCACCAAAAGTCAAGGTAATAAACATATCCATCTTCCCCAAAAGTTTATTTATTTCATTATTTGACCACTTATCGTCAAGTTCTGCCCCAAAAGTTTAATACCCTTTTGAAATCCTTTCCTACCTACCTCTGAGTCCTCTTGCCCAGGCAACCACCGATCTCCCTGCTGTCACTGGAGGTTAGTTGGCATTTGATAGAATTCTGTGCCAACAGAATTATGTGGTATATACTCTTTTGTCTGGCTTCTTTCACTGAACATAATTATCCTGAAATTCATCCATGTTGTAGTAGCAACAATAGTTTATTCCTCTTTACTGCTGAGCAGTACTCCTTTGCATTTGTTTATCCATTCATCTATTGATGGACATCTGGGTTGTTTCCAGGTTTTGGCTATTATATATAAAGAGGCTATGAACATTTGTGTTAAGTTTGTATACGGTAAATGGTTTCATTTCTCTTGAGTGTGACCAACACTACTCAAAACTGTCAACATAATCGAAAATAAGGGAAGTCTGAGAAACTGCCACAGTCTGGAGGAGCCCACATGATGAATAATGTGATATCCTGGGTGGGATCCTGGTACAGAAAAAGCACATTAGGTAAAAACTAAGAAAATCCAAATAAAATACAGACTACAGTATCAATATTGCTTCACTAGGTGTGACAAATGCACAATAATAATGTAAGTTGTTAGCAAAATAGGGGAAATTAGGTACAGGATATACAGGAATTCTCTATGCTAGCTTTGTAACTTTTCTATTAATTGTTATTAATTCTATTAAAGTTTTTTTTTTTTTTTTTTTTTTTTTTTGAGACGGAGTCTCGCTCTGTCGCCCAGGCTGGAGTGCAGTGGCGGGATCTCGGCTCACTGCAAGCTCCGCCTCTCGGGTTCACGCCATTCTCCTGCCTCAGCCTCCCAAGTAGCTGGGACTACAGGCGCCCGCCACTACGCCCGGCTAATTTTTTGTATTTTTAGTAGAGACGGGGTTTCACCGTTTTAGCCGGGATGGTCTCGATCTCCTGACCTCGTGATCCGCCCGCCTCGGCCTCCCAAAGTGCTGGGATTACAGGTAAAGTTTTTAATTTTATTAACTTTTGTAACTTCTTTGTAACTTTTCTATTAATTGAAAGCTATTCTAAAATGTAAGCTTATTAAAAAAAAAAAGAGTGGAACCACTGGGTCTTATGGTAGGTAAACATTTAACCTTTTAGGAACCTGCCAAACTGTTTTCCAAATAGTTGTACCATTTTGCATTCCTACCAGCAGTTTGACAGTTTCAGTTATTCAACATCCCTGCCAATTCTTGGTAAGGTCAGTCTTCTCAATTTTAGACATTCTAAGAGGCAAAAACACTTTTTGTGTATATTTTGTCAACATATATATTGAAAACACACATAAATACACATATGTATATTCTCTCTCATATACACTTTGACAAATGCACAATACGTATGTATGTATATATGAGACAGAATATGTATATTCTTCAAACAAGATCAGCAAAATCAGACTTCCTGGTTCCTATAGCAAACTGGCAGTTGCCTAGATCCAAATCTCTCCATATATCCTCTAAAACTCACAGATGAACAAAAGCAATAAAACTCACATCTCAAAACTATAGACTATTTGGGAGACAGGTTACCTCAAACAATTTGCACATAAGAAGGACTCAAATGTCCAAAACCTGAAATATCTACTTCTGGAGCCAACACTAGATAGGGCTGTCACAGCAGCAAACAAACAGAAAATGGCACTAAAAAACAAACAAACAAAAAACTCCTTTACAATAGCATTAAATACCATCAAAACCTAGAGATAAACTTAAAGAATCTGCAAGACATCTACAAACACTAAGAAAATTTTTAAAGACCAGATAAGCAAAGGGATATATCAACTTCTTGAATTGGAAGACTTGTCAACATATCCATTATCCAGAACTTGATTCATAGGTTCAACGCAATCCCAATCAAAATCCCAGTAGAACTTTGTGTATGTGGGGCAGGGGGTGGAGCTTGGACTGATGAGCTGAATCTATAATTTATATAGAAATGTGAAGATCCAAGAAAAGCCAAGAATCCAAAAAGACAAAGTTGAAGGACTTCACTACCAACTATCAAAGCCTATTATAAAGCTACAATAATTAAGACACAAGGACAGATAAATAGATCAATGGAAGAGAAGAGAGTATCCAGAAACGGATCTGTACATATACTATGGATGCCTGATTTATGAGAAAGGCAACATGGCAATACAATTTAAAAGAATTTTCTTTCACCAAAATGATGCTGAGTCAACTGGCTATCCACACAGAACAAAATTAATCTTCCCCTTCTTATACCATGTACAAAACAAAATTCCAGATGGGTTGCAAATCTAAGTGTGAAAGGTAAAACAACTTTAGAAAAGAAACATATACTACCTTCATGACCTTGGAATAGGCAAATATTTCTTAAACAGGCCACAAGCATTAAACACAATGGAATAAAGTCAGTAAATTATACTTCATTACAATTTAAGTTTTCTGTTATTCAAAAGACGCCAATTAAGAGTACAAAGACAAATCACAGACTCAAAGAAAATAATTTTAATACATATTTCAGACAAAGAACTCATATGTGGCCTATATAAAGAACTGCTACAAGTAAACAAGAAAAAGGTAGATAACCCTAAGAAAAATGAGTATAAGGCCTGAAGAGACACTTCAAGAAAAAGGATATCCAAAGGCCAGTAAACATGAAAATGTGCTCAACTTCATCAGTCACTAAGGACATGAACATTAAAACCACAACAGATACTGCTACATACACCCCAAAATGGCTAAAATGAAAGACAATACAATTATTGATGAGGATATGAAACAACCCAAACCATCGTACACCACTGGAAGTGTAAACTGGTATAACCACTGAGAAAAACTGGCAGCATCTCAAAGATAAACATACGTATACCCTATGACCCAACAATCCCTCTCCTAGGAAGATAACCAAGGGAAATTAATTCACCAAAAGATAATAGCAGCACTATTCGCAATGGCCCCAAACTGGAAACAACTCAAATGCCTATTAACAGTATAATGAATAAGCACTGGTACATTCATACAATGGAATACTGTAAAGCAACAGGAATCAATGACCCACAACCAGTTGCAACATGGATGAAACTCACAGCTAAAGAGTACATATCTGGGCCGGGTGTGGTTGCTCACCCCTATAATCTCAGCACTTTGGGAAGCCAAGGCAGGCGGATCACGAGGTCAGGAGTTTGAGACCAGCCTTGCCAATATGGTGAATATGGCCAGTATGTCTCTACTATGTCTCTACTAAAAATACAAAAATTAGCCGGGTGTGGTGGCATGTGCCTGTAGTCCCAGCTACTTGGGAGGCTGAGGGAGAAGAATCCCTTGAACCTGGGAGGCGGAGGATGCAGGGAGCCAAGATCACACCACTGCACTGTAGTCTGGGCGACAGAGCAAGACTCTGTCTCAAAAAGAAAAAAAAAGTGTACATATCTGTGATTCCATTTATGTAAATTCAAAATCAGGTACAATTTATCTATGCAATTAAAAGTCAGCATGAACTGGGTGTGGTGGCTCATGCCTATAATCCCAACACTTTCGGAAGCCAAGGCAAGGAATTTGCTTAAGCCCAAGAGTCCAAGACCAGCCTGGTCAACACAGCAAGATTCTGTCTCTACAAAAACTTAAAAAAAAAAATTAGTTGGGCATGGTGGCGCATGATTGCAGTCCCATCTACTCAGAAGGCTGAGGCAAGAGGATCACTTGAGCCCAGGAGTTCAAGGCTGCAGTGAGCTATGATCATACAACTGTGCTGCAGCCTGGGTGACAGTGATACCCCATCTCAGAAAAATAAAAATTTAGCATAACAAGTGCCCTTTGTAAACTAGAGACTGAAAGGACTGCAAGGGGAATTTTGGTGTATTCTTAATTTTTGCCTCTACATGTGACTAGTTATACAAGATGTGTTCAGTATATAAAAATTCAGTGAATAGTACACTCATACTTTTCTGTAAGTTAACTTCAACAACACAAGTTAAATCGTTGCCACTTAACTGTTACAGCCACACAGTAAGGTTCCATAAAAGTTTATTTTGTGGGAAACAAGACTTCATGAGAGTAATTTCAATCATTTCCTGCAAGATGGGACTGAATGTATTAAACTTTGTTTTGGAATAGCTTTTCAGACAATTTAGTGACGATACGGTTTATGATCCAGTACAATAAGAAGTGAAACCATCTCAGTCAAAAATTCAACATTAGTCATGCCAGTAATCCCAGCAACTTGGGAGGCTGAGGCAGGAGGATGGCTTGAGGCCAGGAGTCTGAGACCAGCCTGGGCAACACAGTGACACCATGTCTCTTAAAAAAAAAAAAAAAATCCAGGCCAGGTGCAGTGGCTCACGCCTGTAATCCCAGCACTTTGGGAGGCCGAGGCAGGCGGATCACCTGAGGCCAGGAGTTCAAGACCAGCCTGACCAATATGGAGAAACCCCGTCTCTACTAAAAATACAAAATTAGCCAGGGGTGGTGGCACATGCCTGTAATACCAGCTACTCAGGAGGCTGAGGCAGGAGACTCACTTGAACCCGGGCAGAGGTTGCGGTGAGCCAAGATCCCGCCATTGCACTCCAGCCTGGGAAACAAGAGTGAAACTCCATCTCAGAAAAAAAAAAAAAAAATCTAACATCAGGCTACAACTATACAATTCTTTGGTCCTACATTAAAAGTCAGCAGTCTATTTAGGTCTGAGAGCTGGTTACATGGTTGTGTTCAGTTTGGGAAAGTTGGAGCTCTTCGCCTATGATACAGCATGTACTTTCCTGTATGTGTATTATATTTCAGTTTTTAAAAACTGTTAAATAAACATATCAGTGCTAAACCTTACTTAGGACTGCTTTGGCTAGTCAATTCCTTTCTAAACCTCCAAGCTATTTTAACTGATTATTGAGAAATGGCATCTCAGTGAATTAATATGAAACTGCTCCTCCAATCATTGCCTCCATCCTAAATATTAAGTCTCCCTACCCATATAGCAGTTAAGACATCCCTTAATGATGTTTCACCACTTTTCACATCTTTACAGACACCGTTACTAACAACTCAACACATTAATGCTTAAATCACATGTCCATTTGCAGCCCATTTTCTCCATTCCTCACAGATTCCAAAAGGTCTATGGCTTAAAGGACTAGGGAATGTGGAGAGGGCCCTCTAGGTGGCAGACATCCCTGTCATCTCCACTAGACAGTTGTTGGGGTAGGAAATCCAGCTCTGGCCTGACCTTCCAGCCCCACCCTAGCTCCTACCACCCATCATGCAACAAGGGCCTTCTTGGTGGGGTACTAGCCCAAAAGCTCAGGCCTTTGCAAAACCCTCTTAAACCACAGCAAGTCATAACTTTCTTGTATATAAACGGGGAATTCAGATGCTCCAGCTACTCTTTCCCTGCCCCGCCACATCTCTCTCCAGAGTCGCACTCTATCACCCAGGCTGGAATACAGAGTGCAACCTCGGCTCACTGCAACCTCCGACTCCCCGGTTCAAGCAATTCTCCTGCCTCAGCCTCCCGGACTACAGGCACGCACCATCATGCCCGGTTAATTTTTCTATTTTTAATAGAGACAAGGTTTCGCCATGTTGGTCAGGCTGGTCTCAAACTCCTGACCTCAAGTGATCTGCCCACCTCGGCCTCCCAAAGTGCTGAGATTACTACAGGCATGAGTCACTGCACCCAGCCCACATCTCTTCTTCATTAATTTCTATTCAGTCAGGGATAGACAGCAAGTCAGCTGTCTAACCAGGGGTTCAACCTTGTCTTCTTTCTTGGAAGCATTCTCCATCTATACAAATACTTCTCTTGGAAGACCCTCTTGCTTGGCTTAAATGACAAAGCCACATCCTACCCCACCCTCCTCCACGGACGGGGACGGAATCACTTCAAATGCTACCCCCCTCCTTATGTGATCCTCTTTATAAGCCAGGGAAGGGTTGAGCTAATGTTTGTGGTAGGAGGGACAGCTCTGTGACCTTTTGGTAAGCCCTGGCGGGAGGTATCTGGTCCCACCTCTTAGGGATTCTCATTACACCACAGGTCATTTAACAGCTCTTTAGTCTCAGCTTTGGGCCCTAATGGCCAATTCTGGAGCAACAGAAAAAAAATAATCTACTCAACATCCAGTTAAGACTAAAGTAATTTTAATTCTCTTCAAAGCCTATTTCAAATGCTGCTTTAACCAGAAGTGTTTCCTAGTTCTCAAACCAAACCAACCTCTTCCTGACCCTATCACAGCACTTTTCCAATGATGCTTTATCAACTGGGTTATGCATGCAACTAGCAATGTGAAACACTGTGTTAGGAAACACACCATTTGAAAATTTATTACAAAATGTTTGTTTTAGAAGAACTAGTGGGGAAAAGCATACAGAAAAAAATTACCCAGCCAGGTGCGGTGGCTCACGCCTGTAATCCCAGCAGTTTGGGAGGCCAAGGCAGGTGGATCACTTGAGGTCAGGAGTTCAAGACCAGCCTGGCCAATGTGGTGAAACCCCCATCTCTACTAATACAAAAATTAGCCAGGCGTGGTGGGGCATACCCGTAATCCCAGTTACTCAGGAGACTGAGGCAGGAGACTCACTTGGACCCGGGAGTTGGAGGTTGCAGTGAGCCGAGATCACGCCACTGCACTCCAGCCTGGACAACAGAGCGGGACTCCGTCTCAGGAAAAAAAAATTACCCATAATTTTTTTCTGCTATTACCTACCTTCACTGTCACATTTATATCATTCCAGTGTTTTTCTATGCATATATATTTAAGGCCATTCTTTTTACACTTTTTTTTACACCTGTTTTACACTTCGCTTTTTTTCATTTCAGACACTGTAGTTATCTTTCTTTGCCATTAAGTAGTCTTCTATAAACATTATATTTTATGGTACATGATATTCCATGGTATAGCTCTCCTATCATTTACTTAACATTCTGTTGCCAAATTGTCCCTAGTTATAATGCTGTCCATAAACAATCTTAGGTTTTCATAATTCTGATTATTTCCTTCAAGGAACAAAATTACTTTTGATCAGAAGCTACAAGTTTGGGTTATTTCTTAAGGTTCTTCATAGAAAAATATATATCCTAGTTTACTTTCTCATTAATCACAAGGTTGGTATTTTTGCTGGTGACCACAGAAAAAATGCTCTCTGCTGTAGGCCAGGCATCCTTGTTTCACCATTCGAGAATACAGGCCCACAGCCCTGAGCTGAATCACAAGTGGAAAGCAGAGAGAGTTCACCACACATGGGAGGGGCTGGGTATACGTGAAAGGCTCAAGAACATCAGCTACCTTTGACAGAAACCTTTCCTAGAATTCCTTGAGTTCCCTTAAATCTGCAGTATTGTCTTAACATCTGAGCCCCATAAGAAACCTGTGAGGCAGGTTGAGCAGGTACCATTCTGTCCTGCAGCTGAGAAAACTGACCTCTTTATCTCACTGCCCAGGGTCAAGCTTAGAACCCAGGTTTCCCAATTTCCTCAAGATCTTCCTCCTGCTTCTCTTAGAATGTTCTAAGAGGCTGAGAAGGAGCTGAAGAGCCCGAGAAGTCTTTAACTTGTACTTCGGCTACTGACCCTGGGCAGAGTATAATGGTAACAACATCGTCACCAGACCCTGGCATCTTACCAGTGAAGTCACTGGGCTCCCTGGACAGCTGCAAACATACACTCTGGAAAGCTCCTCTCCCATCAATCATGGGTCCTTTCCCTGAAGTCCAACACCTAGTATTAGCTGAAAAATATTTTCCTGTAAACTAGAAAAGTTTCCAGCATCTCTGAAACAACCCAGTGAGGTTTAAGTCATTGTTGAATTGTTGAGTGTCATACTTTTTTTTTTTTTGGCAGAGGTGGGCAGGGGTCCTGCTCTGTCACCCAGGCTGTAGTACAGTGCCACAACCACAGTTCACCGCAGTCTCGACCTCCCAGGCTCAAGTGATCCTCCCACTTCACCCTCCAAGTAGCTGCAACTAGGTGCACACCCCACATCTGGCTAATTTTTCTATTTTTTTGTAAACGGGGTTTCACCATGTTGCCCAGGCTGGTCTCAAACTCCTGGCTTCAAGTGATCCACCTGCTCCAGCCTTAATTACAGGCTTAAGTCACCATGCCTGGCCTGTCATTCTTACTGGGACATAATACATGCAATTTTCTCAAAGGAGAAAAACAGAACATGTATTAGAACTAAGAAAGATGACTCCCTGAACTTTTAACTCAGCGTAAACTAAAAGAGAATTGGGCTAGCTCATGACTTACATTTTTCTTTTGTACAAGTCAGAAGAGACAAAAACCACCCCCACCCCCAAGTATGCCCTTCTCTCATTTGCCTTCCTGTACGACAGAAGCAAATGCCACAAGTTAGTCACTCCCTTAATATGCCTCTCCCTCAAACATTACGCTATTTACTGCTCACATACTCCTGCATTTTTGTGGGAATTATTTCTAACGCCAAGTTAAAAAAATAAATAAAAGAATTTACAACTAAAAACAGTAGTTGTCCTTTGGTATATGTAGGGAATTGGTTCCAGGACCCCCAGAGTATACCAAAATCCGCACATACTCAAGTCTTGCAGTTGGTCCTGAGGAACCCACCTATACCAGAAAAGTCAGCCCTCCATACGTGTGGGTTTTACATCCCTTGAATACCACATTTTCCAGCTTTGGTTGAAAAACATCTGCATGTAAGTGGACCTGCACAGTCCAACGTAGTGTTGCTCAAGGGTTGACTGTAATTATCAGTCCTTGTTTTGAGAATCCCCATTGTGGCTAATTGTTTTCAAGGTCCATTTTTAAAAATTAAACATATATTCTTTCATCTAAAACAACTGAAACAGGCCAGGCACAGTGGCTCGTGCCTGTAATCCCAGCACTTTGGGAGGCCGAGGTGGGTGGATCACCTGACGTCAGGAGTTTGAGACCAGCCTGGCCAACATGGCGAAACCCCATCTCTACTAAAAATACAAAAAATTAGCCAGGTGTGGTGGCGGGTGCCTGTAATCCCAGCTACTTGGGAGACTGAGGCAGGAGAATTGCTTGAACCCAGGAGGCAGAGGTTACAGTGAGCTGAGATCGCACCACTGCATTCCAACCTGGGCGAAAGAGCTAGACTCTGTCTCAAAAAAAAGAAAGAAAAACAAAATATAAAATAAAGGCCGGGTGCAGTGGCTCACACCTATAATCCCAGCACTTTGGGAGGCCAAGGCACGCAGATCACAAGGTCAGGACATCGAGACCATCCTGGCCAACATGGTGAAACCCCATCTCTACTAAAAATACAAAAATTAGCTGGGTGTGGTGGCGCGTGCCTGTAATCCCAGCTACTAGGGAGGCTGAGGCAGGATAACCGCTTGAACCAGGGAGTTGGAGGTTGCAGTGAGCCGAGATCACACCACTGCACTCCAACCTGGCAACAGAGTGAGACTCCGTCCCAAAAAACAAAAAGAAAGAAAGAAAAAGAAAATATAAAATAAAATAAATAACTCAAACCCAGAACACTTCAACATTCTTATAATGGGTTGCAACTCCCACAAAATTAAACACCATTAGGACATCCACACCTCTTGGAAAGAGTCAACTTCAGGGGATGCTGCCCTCTATCTCCACTATTCCTTGGAGTATCCAATAGATACAGAAACTAAATGCGTGCTGACTCATGTTTAAAAGCTGTTAAAACATTCGAGAGCTACACTGTCCAGTGCAGTAGCCACTAAACACCTGAAATGTCCATGTTGAGATATGCTTGTAAAATCCACACTGGATTTTGAAGTCGTAGTACTAATAAAAAAAATCTCATTAATAGTTTTCATATTAAATGTTGTCATATTATAATATATTGGGTTAAATAAAATATTAATTTCATCTGTATCTTAATTTTAACATGGCTACCAGAAAATCTGTAACATATGTGATCCACATTATATCTCTTTATATAAATACTTGTGTAATCTGTGACCTTTTCTTTTTTCCCCAACCTTTCTGTGTATCATAAAGTAGGTTTACACATCCTAATCAAAGGCAGTCTTCACCCAGAGAGGGATTCAATCCATAAACTAAACCACAAAAAGGCAAGTATTGCCAGCAACTCAACATTGTTCTTCACAAGCTTTCCAAGGAAGACCTCTTACATGCACTACTTAGAAGCAGATCTGTACAGATGCCTACCACGTTCAAGTTTTCAAACCTAAATCACCTGGCAAATGATCATGAATTCCTCGGTTTATAGGTGTAGTGCAGACTCTACTGAAATCCAGAGAATTATCCAATATGGCATTTATCCTTCGAAAGATATTGGCATTACTACACGTGGAGAGAGCAGGTGCTTCCTGGTTGTCCCAGCAATCTTTTATCCTTCCTGCTTCTTCTTCCTAGACACAGAAAAAAAAAGATATTTAGGTTTTCTACACTCCTTTATGACCCCCTTTCTCTCCACATTACGAATTAGATAAAGTAGGAAGGACTTAAGTATCTTCTTTATACATTAAAACACTTAATGAGTGTTTACTATGAGCTAAGTACTCGGAACTGTAAGAAAAAAATACCAAAATATTCTTGGCCAATTTGTGGAAAAATTTCCACAAAGGATACTATTAAGGAAGAGAATCAAGCACCAGGATTTAAGGCAAAAAGGGGTAGGCTAACTCTACTAGTTTTCTACAAATATAGTCAGGTTTATGATTAGGATTGCCTTTATCTATAAAGCTGCTAACCTCTGGGCCTTAAGGGAAAAGGTAAACACCAGCTGCCAGTCTTTTGGTTGTACAACAAGAAGGTCTGGACAAGAACTCTTTTTCAGAATTGGTTCAATTGATATTTTGTTCCTGGAGTCAGAAAGTACCTTGCCAGTAAAGGACTTTTTTTAATATATTAAAACACTTAATGAGTGTTTATGATGAACAAGGTACTCAGAAGTTCTTTTAATACTGGACAATGCCCCTGGCCACCCAGAATGCCATGAATTCAACAACAAAGAGGTATACATGCCCCCAAATACAACATCTCTAAGTCAGCCTCCAGATCAAGGGGTCATAAAGACCTTTAAGGCTCATTACACATGCTACTCTACAGAAAGGATTGTTAATGCTGTGGAAGAGAACCCCAATAGAGAGAAGGTCATGAAAGTCTAGAAGAATTACACC
Organism: Homo sapiens; assembly: GCF_000001405.40. Lineage (NCBI taxonomy): Eukaryota > Metazoa > Chordata > Mammalia > Primates > Hominidae > Homo > Homo sapiens. Next base: position 417,245 of record NT_187606.1, read on the forward strand.
AGTGACAATGCCATCATTGTTACAGAAAAATCCATGAAAGCCATCATGCCCAAAATAATAAATTCCTGCTTAAAAAAACTGTTTCCAGATGTTGTACATGACTTCACAGATTTACCACAGAGCCAATACAGGAAATCATGAAAGAAACTGTAGATATGACAAAAAAAGGTTGGGAGTGAAGATTTCCAAGACATGGACCTTGGAGAAATCCAAGAGTTAACATACCAGAGGAATTAGCAGAAGACAATCTGATAGAGATGAGTGCTCCAAACCAGTGCCAGACATGGAAGACGATGTTGAAGTAGCAATGCCAGAAAACATATTGACATTAGATGATCTGGCAAAAGGGTTCCGATTATTCAAGGCTGCTTTTGACTTCTTTTACAATACAGACCCTTCTATTACACAGGCACTGAAACTAACGCAAATGGTGGAATTAGGATTGGTACCACATAGAAACATTTTTACAGAAATGAAAAAGCAAAAAGTCAGACAGAAATTATTTCTGTAAAGTTACACTGACTGTGCCTGCTTCTCCTTACATCCGCTCCACATCCTTCCACCTTTGCCACCCCTGAGAGAGCAAGACCAATCAATCCTTCCTCTTCCTCGGCCTGCTCAATGTGAAAACAGTAAATATGAAGATCTTTATGATTCACTTCCACTTAATGAACAGTAAATATATTTTCTCTTATGATTTTCTAGTAACATTTTTTCTCTAGCCTACTTTATCGTAAGAATACGGTATAAAATACATGTAACATACAAAACATGTGATCAACTGTTTATGTTATCGGTAAGGCTTCCGGTCAACAGCAGGCTATTAGTCAAGTTTTGGGGGAGTCAAAGTTATACATAGATATTTGACTGTGGGGGTTGGTCCTCCTAACTCCCACACTGTCCAAGAGTCAACTGGACTAAAAACCAATGAACTGTACATTAAAGGTGAACTTTAGGGTATGTAGATTTTATGTCAATACAGCTGTTTAAAAATTTTCATTCTGCCATTTATTGGCTGTGTGATATCACAGTTACTTAACCTCTATCCCTCAGTTTCCCCATTTGTGAAATGGAAAAAGGATACCAACTTTTTGATGACATATGTAAAGCATTTTGCATGGCATACAGTAGCTGCTAATTTGTATCTGCAAACACTAATTATTGAATACAAGAGAGGTAAGTACCAACAGTGGTAAAACCACCCAAACTGATTAAGTTATACAACTCTATGTGGTCATTATTAGTACATACAACTTTATTAACTGGCATGAGAAGATGGGTAAGACATTACCGAATGAAAAAAGAACTCCTATATATATATATAAAAAATCATGAACCCTTACACAAAAACTATTCTTTTGGTATTCCCTATCTCGGTAAATAACACCACCATCCACCAGATGCCCAAAGCAGAAATGTAGGTACCATTCTTCACTCCGGTCTCCCTCACTCTCCACAGCCAATGCCCAACATAAGAAGCAATGAAATATTGGTTGACAGATTGAGTTTTTTAAGGGGAGCCTGCCTCATCAGTTCTATTATCCTCAATTATCTTGCGGAAAACAAAAACAGACCAAGTAATGAAACTGGCACTTAATATCTCATAAGCTGGTCACATCAAAACAAAACAAGAAGAGGCCCAATGTCATTTTGTTTGGCCTACTAAAATCCAAGTGAGCATGAGAATGACCAAGAGCATTTACAGTTTTACCAACTCTGCAGGATGACCTTAAAGGGACAAACTTGAGCCTCACGTCAGCCTCAAGTTCTTGAAGATTGGTACCCTCTGCAAACTGTGAAGACGACCAAAATACACAATCCTACAAGGTTGTTTTCCCAAGCTCTCTAGAGTGGTGCCATTGAGAACTGTTAAATCCAGTGACACACAAGGCCCTTTTCACAACTGTAGATTTCTAAGCTGATTCTCAATTTCAGGAAGGCAACTTCATGAAGGCTAAGATGCAAAGATTTATAACCTGCAGAGAGGAGGTCTCGCTGTGTTGCCCAGGCTGAACTTGAAACTCCTGGGCTCAAGTGCTCCTCCCACCTTGGCCTCCTGAGTAGCTGAGACTACAGGCACGTGCCATTGCCTAGCACAATCTGCATTATCTTAAGGCTACATGCTTCATTCTTCACTGCCTAATAAACATTAGCCGACTGCCTGCTCTCTATAGTGAGCACCCCAAGGGGCAGCAGATTAGACACAGACTAAACCAAAATAAAGTTTTGAAGTCTGGAAAAGAACTTTTGGCAGGCAGGAGCTCAAAACCAGCCTGGGCAACATGGCGAAACCCTGTTTCTACAAAAAATACAAAACATTAGACAGGTATGGTGGTACATGCCTGTAGTCCCAGCTACTCAGGAAGCTGAGGTAGGAGGAATGCTTGAACCCAGGAGGCAGAGGTTGCAGTGAGCAGAGATTGTGCCACCACACTCCAGCATGGGTGACAGAGCAAGACCCTGTCTCAAAAAAAAAAAGAAAGAAAAAGAACTAAGACCCGATCCTGTAAACATCCACAACACAGACTACAACGTGCTGTAAATGTACATTGTCCTCCAAGCCAAGGTGGCCTGGAGGGACAGAATGTGCCTGGAAATGGGGGTAAAGAGGAAGTTCTAAAGAACACAAGAGAGTAGAGAGGCATTATCAAAAGTGGTCCAGTGTGGTACAGCATTAGGTATAGGAGAGAAAATTGGAAAAGCCTCATATGCCAAATTAAGGAGTCAGCATTGTCTTTCAATACACAAAATTGTGTCTTTTCAATACACAAAAATTAACCTAGCTTTTAATTACTGTAATAAAAGTACTATATATATATGGACTACATGGATTCCAGATCCTGGCCACATCTAAAGGCAAGTAAATAACAAAGTGAGTCTTAGAAGGAGACCACCAGCAACTACATGACAGATAAGTGGCAGAAGGATTAGTGAGAAAGTACCACAGTAGTCTAGGGAACAGATGCAGACTTGGGAGTCTGGGAGAAAGGTATTCCTTAGGAGAGGAAGGAAATCTTACTATTTCAAGGAGTCTGAAAAAAAAATCTAATTTAGGAATGTGTCTGGTCACCCTGCCCCACTCCTAATCCTGTTAGGAACATACACACCTTCCCAAATCAAGGCAAATGATATCTGACATGCCTCCCTCCCCTTCTCTCACATACATCAAGCCAGAGCTCTAGCTTAAGATGACATTATAATAAAAGTGAATGAGGTGTTCAATGTATATTCCAAACTGTTTCATCTTATAATTACCAATGTTTGCCTTAACCAATTTGGAAGGAAAAAAAAAAAATCAAAGCCAGGACTGTCAGATGGCGAACAGATCTACTACTCTCCTTTGTGTACAATAGGGATAAAAGTAATACTATCTCATAAGGCTTTTTGTGAATTAATGCACATAAAGTACTTAGCATAGGGCCTGACATGTAATTATGTGCTGAACCAACGAATACTGTCTATCAGTCGTATCATTATTATTATTCAGAGGCCACCACAGGGATCCTTGAGGAAGGATCTATTGGCTCATTAAGTGAACCAAAGACCTATGGCAACTATTTCTCTGAAGACTCCAGGCCCTTCTATTCCTGGTACCCCCTAACTCTTCCTCTTAATCATTTGACTTAAAATGCTTAATTAAAAGGCAAGAGATATGATTCAAATAGACCTAAGGGCTGAATCCACTACAGGTTCAGTATCTCTCATCAGAAATGCTGAGATGACCAAGAAGTGTTTCAGATTTGGATTTTTTTTTTTTTGGAAGCTGGAACATTTGCATATACATAATGACCTATCTTAGGGATAGGGCCCAAGTCTAAACACAGAATTCATTTATTTTTTTCTCTTTTTTTTTTTTTTTTTGAGACGGAGTCTCGTTCTGTCGCCCAGGCTGGAGTGCAATGGTGTGATCTCGGCTCACTGCAAGCTCCGCCTCCCGGGTTCACAGGATTCTCTCGCCTCAGCCTCTGGAGTAGCTGGGACTACATACGCCCGCCACCACGCCCGGCTCATTTTTTTGTATTTTTAGTAGAGATGGGGTTTCACCACATTAGTCAGGATGGTCTTGATCTCCTGACCTCATGATCCGCCCACCTTGGCCTCCCAAAGTGCTGGGATTACAGGCGTGAGCCACTGCGCCCAGCCAAATTCATTTATTTTTTATATATACTTCATACACATAGCCTGAAGTTAATTTTATACAATATTTTTAGTAATTCTGTACATGAAATTAAATTTTGACTGTGTTTTAACTGTCACCCATCATGAATTCAGGTGTCTAATTTCTACTTGTGACATACTGGTGTTCCAAAAGTTTCAGATTTTGGAGCATTTCAGATTAGGGCTGCTCGACATGTGTACTGTGTATATTCACACACACACACACACATTTTTTAAGAGATGGGGTCTTGTTCTGTCCCCTAGGTTGGAGCACAGTGCTGCAATCACAGCTCACTGCAGCCTTGATCTCCTGGGCTCAAGCAATCTTCCTGCCTCAGCGTCCCAAGTAGCTGGACTACAGACAGGCGCCACCATGCCCAGCTAATTTTTTTTTTTAACTTTTTTTTTTCCCCTCAGAGAAAAGGTCTCGCTATGTTGTCCAGGCTGGTCTTGAATTCCCGGGCTCAAGCGCTGCTCCTGCCTCAGCCTCTCAAAGTGCTGGGATTACAGGCATGAGCTACCACATCTAGCCAATACTGATCCTTTTAAACCGTCCAGTTATATGAATTCATAGTTCCTCATTTTCAAAACAGAAACCTACTATCCACCCCATACTCACAGACCCATTTACTTTGTGTAGTCCATCTGAACTTTCATCAATGTATAGATCTGCATTCAGACCAATGTTTTACCATGATAAAAAATGTTTTTCTCTTGGTTATTCTACTATTGCCTGACAGTTCCTGCCCTTATTTTCAGCATATTTTGCCATAAAGTGAGGTCACTTGTAGCTTTTTTTTGACCTTTAGTTGGTCTTCTACTGTCAACGGGAAAGAAGGCTTTAAGATAAATCAGAGACTTAATAGAGTGCAAACCTTAATACTACCGAAAATCAGGAGTCAACAGGAAGAATTACTTGGCAATGCTGTAAAACAAAAACAATTCTTTAATTAAAAAATTAATTTAAAAACAATTGTTTAATGCTAATGATATAGACACAAATACCCTCAAGATAAAACTAGTTCTACCTATCTACCTATTGTTAGAAAGAATGGCTTTTGAGGAAACTCACCTAATACAAGTTATTTTATTTGAGACAGAGTTTTGCTCTTGTCGCCCACGCTGGAGCGCAATGGCTCAATCTCCGCTCTCTGTAACCTCTGCCTCCCGGGTTCAAGTGATTCTCCTGCCTCAGCCTCCCGAGTAGCTGGGATTACAGGCATGTGCCACCACGCCTGGCTAATTTTTGTACTTTTGGTAGAGACAGGGTTTCACCATGTTGGCCAGGCTGGTCTCAAACTCCTGACCTCAGGTGATCTGCCTGCCTCAGCCTCCCAAAGCGCTGGGATTATAGGCATGAGCCACAGTGCCTGGCCCTAATCCAAGTTATTTTAGATCAGGCCTCAATTTTCTCCTCTCCAATAGATAAGAGCTGACACTCCTATCATGAAACTGTTTTCCTATAGCCATGATCATCAACTAGGACAACAAAGGTGAGGGAAATGGTCTGAAGAAAAGCATTTCCCTCCTCCACAAAGGAAAATCCTCCTCCTCCTCCTTAAAAGTGGGAATCATTGTTTTGAAAAGCAGAAAGAACACAGGCTTTGCAATACAAACACCAGGTCTACCACTTAGGTATCACTCTGAGCCTTGGTTACCTAAAGGTATAAAAAAAAAAAAAAGAGGGTAGCACCTACTTTGCAGACTTCGTAGTAGTCAGAAATACATAAAGTACATGGATATGCTCAATAAATACTTTTAGTGGCAGATGTCCAATTACACACCAGTTATTAAATTATATCACTGTTACTCAGAGGTATGGTTTCAACTTATTCATCCTAGCCAAGTTCATCAAGAAGCTTATTTACTTGTTTTAGCATATAACTGGTTTTTTTTTTTTTCCATCTATGGTTCAGAAGTATCACTCATAACTTTTTCTTTAAAAATCTGAACCACACTTTGTAGATATGTTTGCTAAAGATCCCCAAATTTTATATTTATTTGTATAGAAGAAATGAACAATTGTCTAATTTGGAAACCTTGGCCCTGCCTTTAAATATCATACTCCCCAGACCCAGCATTGTGATAGGATGGCCATTCTGGCAGCTCAAAATCTTTACTTGGGGATACTCACCTGTCGTAAATGAATGCCAACTATCATCTCTGGGTTGATTTTTATTCAGTTTGCCTTTAATGGACAACATAATACCAATGCTGAAGACCCTTCAAGACTATTACTATTAATCATGTACAATGGATTAATAGCCAGTTGAGAAATTTATAGAAGACTGTTTGAAGGGCCCAAGGTTTACTCAGTCCTCCAGAGAGAGTTCTAAAACTGGGGTCCCATGGATTGGAATGTAGTAATCCTCCTGACAAAAATGTGTTCACACTAAAAATTTTTCTGAAGTATTTTTCCTCCATTTAATCAGATGGTTTTTAAATGCATTGGTCTTGAACATTTAGACTTTTTTAATTAAGCCAGAGTAGCAGAAAGTAATATACTTAGATGTCCCAAATAACTGGTTCTGCTGAGACGTACTCTGGCAATTTGCCTTTATTTTTCTATTTTTATTTTTGAAACAGAGTCTCGCTCTGTCGCCCAGGAGTGCAGTGGTACAATTTCGGCTCACCACAACCTCCACCTCCTGGGTTCAAGCAATTCTGGTGCCTATGCCTCCTGAGTAGCTGGGACTACAGGCATGTGTCACCACACCCAGCTAATTTTTTATATTTTTAGTAGAGATGGGGTTTCGCCATGTTGGCCAGGCTGGTCTCAAACTCCTGACCTCAGGTGATCCGCCCGCCTCAGCCTCCCAAAGTGCTGGGATTACAGGCATGAGCCACATGCCTGGCCTGCCTTTAGTTTTATACCAATAATAAAGCTAAACAAAATTTCTATAGCACGGATACTCAGGATTTTAGGCATATTCTATTACGATTTTGAAGAGCCCTTATATGAACACTCATTTAGAGAAATGTCATTCAGACCACAGATCAGGAAATGCTACAGATTCCCATGAAGAATACATTTTCCTTATGGAAGAATGTAAGTCTTCTAGCCAAATTTCTCTATTTGCTTTAGTCACCAGCTCACTCAAAGCCAGATTTTGGCTCTACTTTAATGACTCTATAGTTTGCTGAGAGATGCTTCTCTGTGTTTAAATTTCTCCTTGGTCCTACCTCAAGTCTTCTATGCAACAATGTCAGGAATAAAAATTTATCAGGTTGGTCCATATGAAATTGTCAGTATTTTACCTTTTTCAACCAACAAAATGGCAATTTCACATAGTTCAACCTAATATTATTTCGTAAATGCTGACAACCCACTAGGTTAGATGTTGAGATTACAGATATGTATATATAAAACATACTCCTTGCCCTCAGGAGAATTATTCAGGTAGGAAAAAGAAACAAATCTAGTTAGCTAAGTGGAGATCAAGCATAAAATGCTATAGAAGAGAGGAATAAAGTAGGGTATCTAAAATGGTTTCACAACTCAGATGTTTTGGCTAGAGAATAATGAAAATGCAGAATTTCAATAAGCAGGCATGAGAAAAAGCATTAACACACAGAGAACAAGCACAGAGAGGATACAGAACACAGTAAATTCAAGAAAACAAAGTAGTCCAACAGGGCTGGACAGGAAGGCTCACCAGGAATAAACGAGATAAAGCTACAGGTCCTAACCTCCTTCCTGTGTCGGAAAGATAAATCCATCAACAGATACAAGATCTCCTCTCCCTGCATCACCTGACTTTCCTCTCTTCTCCACTGGCTCCCCTTCAGTTTGTCAGTATGTTCAAGACTCTTTCACCTTAAAAAACCACCACACCTTCCTTGATTTAAAATATCCTCCCAATTCATTGCCAATTTCTTCTGCTATACTATCAACCTTCTTGAAAATATATGATCTTTATTTAACTTCCTGTTCATCCTCTCAATCCACAATGTCCTGCCAGCACTGATCTCTCCCCTTCCCCAAAAAGACACTAAACAACTGCTCCCAAATTAATGCCTTCATAGCTGCCAAATCCAACTGATACTTCAAGTCTATCTTACCCTGCATCTTTGTAGGATCTGACCCTTCAGCTATTCTCCACTCAAGTCAGGAATCACTTTCTCCTGGCTCTCCCTTTCCATCTCTGGTTATTCTTCATTTTTCATAGGGTACATCTATTGTCCAATGTTCTTTTTGCTCTCTTAACTCAGTGTGGAAGAGGAAATACTACAATTTCCAGGACAGGTTTATGAGAACATTAGAGAATATTTCATACCAAAACACCTCAAGAATATTGAAAGCACATGGTCACTATAATTTTAACTCTCATCACTTACCTGTCACACTGCTAACTGTATGGACTGTAAGCTCACCAATCTGATAAACTATAAAGGTCCCTCACAACCTGTATCTCAGCACTGCCCCAGAATAGTATCTGCTGCATTTGCAGGCACTCAATACAGATACCACATGAAAGGCAGACCCGTATCACACTCCTGTCATAGGTATTTTTACCACCTCACTCATAACCTTCATAAATGGTAGTGACTCCTTTCTTAAGATTTTAGATACATCAAGAGAAATATTCATCAATTCTACCTCTTCTCCCTGTCAAAATTCTCAGCCACTAAAGTCATTTTGGGATTTGGGGTTTTAGGTTTGGACCACAGACCATTCTTCATCAATAAAAAAACAAAGGCTCCAGAGTTGTCTCAGAGCTGTTCTTGGACCTGGTCTCCATCACCTCTCCATATAATGCTTCTCTGGCTGCCTTGATGCAGAAGAGGGAACTTGGAGTCTGGGATTCTGATTTAAGCCCCAGTGCTCCATTAACTAGGGAACTTTGACCAAGATTTTCAATTTCTCTAAGCAGGTCTTTTTATTTGTAATGTGAGAATGACAGAGTCTCATAAATTCTCCTGAGGAATAAAAGAAACTAAAGGCTCTGGACAGTTGGTCTACATGACCCTACTCTTGCCCTCACCAATTTGACACAGCTTCCATTACTATCCTTTTTCTGCACTTACTGACAAGGTATCCTTCTTCCTATTTAAAAAGCAATTTTGGAGTCCATTTTTTCTCATACCCACAGGGCCTCTTGGTTATACCTGCCACAGCTCTCACACCTTTGTAAACATCATCAGGTCTCTCCCATGTTTAGAACTTTTCTTAACCCTGCTCTTCCCTCTAGTAGCCAGCCTGTCTTTCCCTAGCATCCCCATCAGCCCTCCGTACGGAGTACCCCATCTCTACGGCCTTTACTCATCTCTTTAACCCTCGAAGGCAAGCATCAGATGCTTCTCTCCCTTTCCACACATGCTATTCTGAAACACTTTTTTTCAAACCAAGTTCACTGTGCCTTATCAAATCCTATGGACATTTCCTGAGCCTTTTAAGACGTCTTCATTCCTGCCTGGATATTCTTACAGGATCTCTGGAAAGTACAAATCTAATCACCTACTCCAGAGGGCAGTGGTCCACAAACTTTTTGGTCTGAGGACTCCTTTATACTCTTAAAAATTACTGAGGTAATTTTAAGTACTTTTAATTACTCAAGAGCTTTTTGTGTAAGTAGGTCATATGAATATTCACCCATTAGAAATTAAAAAGGGGTAGATTTATTAACCATTAAAAAAACCTATTACATATTAACACAATGATTTTCCAAGACAAAAAAAATTTATGGAGTGGCATTGACATTTTTGCAGATCTCTTTAGTATCTGGTTTAATATAAGATAGCGGGATTTTCTGGTCTGTTTCTGTATTTAATGTGTTGTCATGTGTTATTCTGGTTGAAGTATATGAAGAAAATCCAGCCTCACACAGATACATAGTTGGAAAAAGGAGTATTTTAATATCATTGTCAGACAACTGTGGCTATTAATACTACACCAAAATTCCCAACAAATGGTAACTTCTTAAAGATTAGTTACAATATGGAATCTGAAACCATATGTACTCTTCATATGCTGTTACATTAAAACACATGGGTCAATCTTGCATTTTGGATGGATCTTTTACTCCTATCTGTTAGTCATTTGACAAATATTGGCTTGAATTATGCAAATATAACAAACGTTGACACACTAGTTAATAGTAAATAGTACCACCAATCTCACCAGGGGACTTCAAGTATTGGGGCAAGTGTCAAGCTCATGTGGTGGCAGATAAAGGTCTTCCAAAATTCTTATTTTTTTCTTCAGTGCTCAAATTGTATCACTGGCAACAAATAAAGTGAGCTATTTCTTATGAAGTGACTGACTTACTTGGTTGATTTTCAAGAAAATGTCTGCCAAATACCCAAAGTTGAATAACCATAGTTTGTTAGTTGTTCTTCTGGTAAAGAAAAAAAAGGTTTTCAAAGGAAAAAAAGAGGCTTATTCTTGAAACTCAGTCACATTTCCTTGAGACAATCATCATACTTGGATATGAAGCAAAAGTACTTTATACTGACTTCTCATTTGTCACACAGAATATTAAAGGCATATATTCAAGGGCTGAGATGTAATGAAATTAATTTTACTGCTTCCTCAAGGACATTTGTAAGTGACACTGGCTTTTCTGGGAATGTGTACCATGAAGAATACAATGACTGCTACTACAGTTTAATGGCATTGCCCTGATTCCTGCTAAGTAAGTGCCAGCTGTTTTACTCACCCCCATTGCTTTTGCACTATCGGTACAAATGTCAACACAGTGGGGTGGGGGAGCAGAAATCAACCACGTCTTAGAATTATAAAAATACTTCTGACTTTATAGCCTCTTAAAGGGTTTTGGTGACCACTAGGCAGGCATGGACCTAGCTTGGAGAACTGCTGCCACAGAGTAAAGGCCAAGTTCCTTATCAATAGCATATAAAACCCTTCATGGTCCGCCTTCAGCTTAGTGGCCAAGTTAAGTCCCTCCTGGTCTATTCCTACTTTATTCTGTTGTGTGTTCCCTCTCAATAAAAGGACAATAGTTATAAGTGTGTATCTTGATCAACATTCACTTATCTGTACATACCGGAGCAACCACCACACACAGCAAGACACAGAACATTTCCAACACTCTATAAGGTTCCCCTGTGCCCTTTCCCACACTATCCCCCAAAGAGTTTACTATTCAGGCTTCTGTTGTTACCAGTTAGTTTTGCCCATTTTTGAACCTCTTATAAATGCAATCATGTGGGTATTCTTTTGGGTCTGGCTTTTTTTTTTTCCCCACTTAACTTAGTATCTGACATGTCTACACATTAAAGTATAGAACAGTGGTTTTTATCACTGTGCTACATATTAATAGATGTGGATATATGTATTTATCCATATTCCTGCTCAAGGGTGTACAGAAAAGATTTAAAGTAACAGGTCTGACTGGTGTCTTTTAGCTACCATCTGGGAACCTAAATTTTGAGTTCCCACCATTCCCAGAACTGAGTGACTTACTATACCCAAAGGAACAAACAATATGGTTTATGCTGAACATCGGCTTTCCTCCTGGAGTCTGAAATTTTGGTACATTTCAGGCAGAGGCTACCTATTCAACCAGTCCTCAGACACACACGCGCAAACACTCTCTCTCTCTCTCTCTCTCTGGGTGCCCAGATTCTAACAAGCTATTCTGGCTGGCAACATTTTACATATGTTGTCAGTTGTAGGGGAATTAAACTATGTCCTGTTTAACTCTCCCGGGAAAAGAACATTGGAAGCTTGTACCAGATTTCACCCCACGTGCCTTTTCCCTTTGATGGTTTTTCTCCATATCCTTTAGCTGTAAGCTTAGCTATGAGAACCACTATATGCTGACTCCTGTGAATCTTCCTAGTCAATCATCTAATTTAGGCACTGTCTTGGGGGACCAGACATAACAGGCGTTTGTTGTTTTGTCCTATTTTTAGGGACAGGGTCTGGATATGTGGTCCAGACCAGAATTGAACTCCTAGGCTCAAGGGATTCTCCTGCCTCAGCCTCCCCGGTAGCTGGTACTACAGGTGCCACAACTAGCTTGCTTTTTCTTCAGATTTTGAATATTATGAATAAAACTGCTGTGAATATTCTTGTGCATGCCTTTTTATACTCATATGTGCTCATTTCTCTTGCACATAGGAACACAAGTGGACTACCAGGTCATAAGCTAGTACCCCTTGCGCTTAAAATTCTAGCAATACTGTACTTCTAGTTGCCTAAAAACAGCCCTGTTTCATATCTCCTTGTCCTTATACATGTTGTTCCTTTTGCCTAGAATGTCCTTCCCACTCCCTACACTATGCCTGTTTTGGCAATAACCTTTAAATCTTTTACCTGCCTACTTCTGATGTTATTTCTGATGAGGAAAAGGAAGAAATTGGTTCTGTTTTTATATCTGCTGGGTTTAACATACCTCAGATAGATACACGCATTCGGTAGTCCAATCAGAAGTATAAGTCTTCAGAACAACCAAGGCTAAAGAGCTCAATCTAAAACTTGGGCACACAACAGTCAACTGGTGCTTCTATAGGAACACATGGGTCTCCTGTATATATAAGGAGACAGGAATGATCCAACAGGGTTGAACTGTGAAGAATGCGGCATTTGGGGAGAAAAGGAAGCCTGCAAGTACCAAGACAAGACAAGATTGATCAGATAAGGAAAAAAAAAAAAAAGGAAGCCATAGTCTTACAAACCAAATGGACATTTCAAGTACAATAAGAGACCAACACAGCAGAGGTAAGAGTGTATGAATTTTACAAATAGTACTAGTCTAGAAATGAGAAAACGTGGGTTCAAGTTCTGTCTCTATTCCCTGCTCACAGTATAAAATTAGGGTAATCACTTTCCATTCTAAACTTAATTCTCCTAGTCCATGAAAAGAGGATGTCAGAGATTATATCTGGCTTTGGTGTCAACTCCAAGTTATATGTAGGAGACAGGTCTCTAACACCTTTTGAGCTTCACAACAATTCCAAGATTACAGCTTTAAAAAAAAACAAAAACAAAAACAAAAAGCCTCAGGAGAAAGGGCAGACACATGGGAGACAGACAGATGGTGTCAGGGCCAGAACCCAGGAGCACAAAGCCAGAATGCAGAGAGCACAGGTGTTAAGTAGTAAGAGATTAAGTGTTCTGTAAAAAGACACAAAAAAACCAACCTGCCCTTCACAGTAACTGTTCTCTTCCAACAGAGGAGAGCTACTCCCACACTTTTATCAAAGGGGATTGTAGGAAGTGGGGCTAAATCTGTCAGGATGGTACATAAAGCAGCATATTATGCTGGCCAAGAATAAAGAAACAAGTAACACTCTTAGTCAAGTTACTCCTAAAATCAATAGCTACTTGCAACCAAGACCCGTTTTTAGCATACAAACCAACCTTTAGACCTGCCCTCTGGGGATTCTCCTGTTACCTCAGGGGAACTCATCACGAATGCCTTAAATAAATCAAAACAAAGAGTGTTAACTCACTATAATTTAAAAGGACTGTTCCACCATTCAAGAATACAAAAAAAAAAAAAAAGAATTC